>NC_000007.14:91900718-92203748 GCF_000001405.40 Homo sapiens | reverse complement strand
GATGCTGTGCCATTTCTCTAAACTATATTTTATGTTTGTTAGCTTTCCAATTTTTGGCAATAATACAAAGTTTTATATAGTATTCAAATGAAGGTTTAGTGATATTATTTAACACTTAAATATAACATTTCATATTATGTATAATACTTTGATCCAGGATTCAAATAAATGAGTTAGCAGTAACAGACAGAAGGATGACAATAATATTCTTAATTAACAGTCTGCTTTTTCCTTAGATAAGAGGTTCAGTTTCTTGAACTATAAATAGAAATGCTATCCTTGGGTATCTAAACAGGTGATTGAACCAAAGAGTAAAGGTATTTTCTATCCATCTAGTCATTACCTTGTTCTCTGTAAACCACTGATAAATTTATGGCACCTTTGAAAGCTTTAAGATAGTTGCATATTTCAGCCGTCAAATGTGGGAACAACCAGCTTGTCCTCAGTTGTCTTAGATTCACCAAGGTCTACTAGGATTGCATTCAACAAGCTTAGCAAAAACATAGCAAACACCTTCATCTGCAAAAATACCTTCATTTGCATTTAAAACACTACATGGGATACATTAGTGTCAGAGATAGGAAAAGCCATGGGACACAGTTGTGTTTTTTGTGTCAGTTGTTTCTACCTTCTATAACTACAGGCTCAGTACTTTTGTTGGAAATTTGACTTCTATAATTGAGAAGTAACTATACTACAGTTGTATTTTTTTCTGTATATTGAACTGTTTTGAAGCCATATTAATGGACTGTTTTGTGGCTTTTGAATAAAGAAATTTCAGGTGATTGATTTAAAAGAGAAGGCAGTTTAAGGTAGTATGATATCTTGACTCTGTTCAGTCTGTACCTTGATAAGTAGCTATTTTAGTATATCCTCCTATGTATAAGGTTATATTTTACAATATAAATGTAGATAGCCATTTTTAAAAGATACTATTAGTTTTTCCTTATACTTAATGTATACTCACATAAATTACCTGTGTTTCATTCACAGAACCTCACTTTATTTATTTTATTTATTTATTTAGACGGAGTCTCACTGTTGCCCAGGCAGGAGTGCAGTAGCGTGACCTCGGGTCACTGCAACCTCCGCCTCCCAGACAGAACCTCACTTTAAAAATCCCCTAACCCATTATCTTTCTGGCACATTCTTAGTTTAGTATTTGTGGTCAATATTATAAGAATTGGTATTTATAGAAACTGAATGCTTCTAAACATATGTATCTTAAAAATGCCATGAACACTTTCTTTGTTTATATGTACACAAATAATACATGTTTAGGGCAAGAAAATGGAAGTTACTGCTAGAAGAGAATTGTTATTAACAAGGATATATTGAATGTCTGCTTATATACAGTATTATATTAGGAAAGTGTAGGAATCATTAATACTGCTTTATAAATAGTTCTGTTGTTGGCTGGTCCATGTGCAGTAGTGTTTACAACTCTTTGATCACAATCAATTACAGTTCTTCTCCACTCCCACTGCTTCACTTGACTATCCTTAAAAAAATAGCTCTGATGAATTTATGAAAGGTATGTTAGTAATTTTTTAAATTATGCTTACTTTTATAATAAATATATCAGTGTACTTATTTTCAGTGGGATGAGATTGTTGAAGTAAACATGTTAACCCAGTTGCATAAACTACAATCTGAAAGTACTATGTAAATATTCAAAAGAAAGATACTGAATAAAGAGATAGCTTTTAACCTGCAGAAAGAAAATAAAGGTAGTACCTTTCATTATCCTGAAAGCCATGGATAGAATTGACATCTTTAAAAATGTTTGTCAATCTTATATGACAAATATTGCTCACAGCACTCTCCTGAGAGTCTACCAATCTATGTGATTCTGTGCTGCAGGCTGTGTGAGGTTAGTGCGGGGTGCTTTGAAAAGGCTTCATTAAAACATTCTTGGAAACTATCATTCTCAGCAAACTATCACAAGAACAGAAAACCAAACACCGCATGTTCTCACTCATAAGTGGGAGTTGAACAATGAGGAATACTTGGACGCAGGGAGGGGAACATCACACTCCGGGGTCTCTCAGGGGGTAGGGGGCTAGGGGAGGGATAGCATTAGGAGAAATATCTAATGTAGGTGACGGGTTGATGGGTGCAGCAAACCACCATGGCATGTGTATGTCTATGTAACAAAACTGCACATTCTGCACGTGTACCCCAGAACTTAAAGTATAATAATTTTTAGAAAAAGCATTCTGAACTATTATATTTAGAGCAGACAACATAAATGTAGATAGTAAGAGAAAATAGGTGAAGTTTTTAATATGTATTTCAATATAGTTGTTTCCAATTATGTTGCAGGCTTTACTCATCAGTCTTAAGTATGGTTGTTTTATGTGGCAATTGGGAGATACTGATACTTGTTTTCAGATCCATAGCATGGAAAATAAAATGAGCTTTATAGTACATACAAAACAGGTAAGTATCATTTATTTTGGACTTCATAAACTATTGTGTTAGTAAAGTTACTTCTTTTTTTAAAAAAGTGACATCCATTTAACTTCAAGGAAAACCTGTAATATTTCATGAAATTAAAATATTTAAGACCAAGGAATAAAGCCAGGCCTTCTAAGCAAGGAAAAATCAGAAACTTACCTGAATAGTTTATTTCACTTTTATAACAAACTCTTTTGCCATGTCTTTTCATTCTGGTCAGTATTACCTGTCTCATCTATCAAGTTATTAGGTAGTCCTTCCCTGTCCTTGACCTACCTGTGCCCCCTAGCTGTATCCAGCAGATTGATTCTTAAGTCACTTCAAAAAGCCTGAGTAAATATCCCCCTCTATACTCTCTCTTAACAAGCTGTCTCCTGATAAGAAAGTTCCCTTTCAAATAGATAGGGAACTGCCCAATGTCATGAATGTCCTTTAAAGATTCTTACATGTTTTATATTTATTATTGACATGTTTTACTTTGTAGGCTGGTCTCGTGGTAAAACTGTTAATGAAGCTAAATGGACAGTTAATGCCCACTGAAAGAAATTCATGAAAGAGAAGTAACTGTTACTCAAGCCACCACATTTTGTAATGCAGAGTTTTTTTTCCGTGAAAGATTTCTTAAAATATTACTTTTGGCCGAGCATGGTGGCTCACCCCTGTAATTCCAGCACTTTGGGAGGCTGGGGCAGGCGGATCACCTGAAGTCAGAGTTCAAGACCAGCCTGGCCAACATGGTGAAACCCTGTCTCTACAAAAATACAAAAATTAGCTGGGTGTGGTGGCGGGCGCCTATAATCCTAGCTACTAGGGAGGCCAAGGTGGGAGATCGCTTAAACCCAGGAGGTGGAGGTTGTAGTGAGCCAAGATTGCACCACGGCACGCTAGCCTGGGTGACACAGCAAGACTCCATCTCAAAAAAAAAAAAAAATTACTTTCAACAAGGCATATAGTCTCTTGTAATATATATGTATACTATTACATTGTACAGAATCTGTACTTATGTTTGGTGTGTAATATACCAATTAGTTTTATATAATATCCTCATAAGCTATTCTAATTTTTGAGAGAAACACAAAAAGTTATAGATTGATAGTCTGTATAATATTAGACAAAATAGTAAGCTTTATAAAAAGTTATTTTTGGTAAATGGTAAGGAATTTGGGGTGGAATGTGATGAGATTAAAATGTAGCTTTGGTATAACTTCATGTGTATTTCAAAATATACTGAACGTCAACATGATTTGAATAAAGAAAATGTATTTTCTACTTGAACCACATAACACTGTTATTTAAAACAGTTTTCTGCAGTCTATAAACATTTCTCAACATTTTTTTAAAAGTCTTAGTTAAAATGTAAATCTGATATACAGTAGTGTTTCTCAAAGTATAGTTCATGAACTCCTTGCATCATAATTACCTAGATGCCTCTTAAAAATGAAGATTTCAGAGACCCATTCTAAACAAGGGCATTCACTCTCTGGAAGTAGCATGGCCTTGTGAACTTAAATTTGGTTTTGTTTTTTCTTTTTTGCTGTTAGAATAATTTCAGACCCAATAAGGAATTTCGATTATTAAAGTTGAGAAATTTCACAAAACTGCCTGGCACACAAGCACACACATACATAGACACATTTTAAGTGATAATCTCTTGATATTAGAAGTTGCATTTGTTAAATACATGCTGTATTTTTTATGAGTTGACTTAATAGTTTATGTATATTGACTTTGCTTTGTAGGAAGTAAATCACCAGATATCTTATTGTTTCATTTAGGAAAGTAGTGATATAGATGAAGAGCCAACTTGATGAATGTGCTATTCATAAGCTAGAAACTACAGTTTTTCCAAACTAATAAACTGATGAATTCTAAATAAGTTCAGAGATATAGTCATATTTAAAGTTGTCCTACAGTTTGCAGATAATTTTTATATTACTATTCTTCACATTAACTTCTGCTTATTTTTAATGGTACTATATGTAGGCCTTATTAAAATTAAGATTGTATGGTTAAGTAAAGTTAACAAGAAAGCCTGATTTATCTTTAATTCTGTGCTAGGTACTTTTGATTCTACATGAACAATACCCTTTTCAGTTCCCTTCATTCTAATGTCCTCAACTGTTACCAAATACCCTGTTGACTCCCAAACCTAAGATTTTAGCCTCAACTTCTTTTCTGAACTTCAAATCTTAATTTCCAAGTTATACTTGTTCTAGGTCCATCTAAATGGTCTACAGAGAACTTCAGTTGAATCATAGCTGGAAACAGAATTTATTTCCTCTATTTGCTTCATTCTGTCCTTCCACTATATTCCCTATTTGGTTAATGACATCATCGAACTGCATTCAGTTGCTTAGCCTGGAAATACTGTTACGGTGTTCAGCCGTTCCCCAACTTACATATTTTGTGGATCAAAGTCCTGTCTGATGTTTTGGGAGTCCTTTCTCATTTCCTTCCTCCCTGCTTGCACTGCAGCCAGTCTAGTTCAAGTCCTCACCATCCATTCTTTAGCTTGTAGTAGCTTCCTACCCCTGACTCAGGCTCTGTACCCTTCCTGCCTATCTGCCACACTGATGCCAAGTTAAGCTTTCTCATCAGTCCGATTATTTCATTACACTGTGAAAATCATTAATGGTTACCACTATATGTAGAATTAAATTCCGAATTCTTTAGTATTGAAACCAAGGCCCTTAGTACACTGTTGCTAAGCTGCCTATCAAGATTATTGTCTAACCACTTCTCCCATACTCATTCTATGCTCCCACTGTTTCCTAACTCCTCAGTCATGTGGGGAAATTCAGTACTTTCTGATTCAGTAATTTTAGAGTGAGACCCAAGCATTTCTGTTCTTGAAGTATTCTGTGTACTTACTATGTACAGTTAGGAATTAGAACTGTAATTATAAGCAACTTTAGGAGATAGCCGAATGTGTTTCCTTTCACAGAGAGAGGTGAGGATGCAGTGATACCACATCAAACAACCTCCTGCTCTGTGGAATACAGTTTACCCTCCTGAAGATGTACAGTATAGCAGCCCTAATAAGAAAGGAATAGGAGACTATTAGAGTAGCATAGTTATTAAAGGCTTAAAAATATATAGCATTAAAAATTCAATTTTAAAAATTATTATTGAGAAAAAAATTGATCATTATCTTTCAGACCATAACAATCCAGAAATAAAAATAGGGAAATCTAAACAGCTTTTAATGAATGCCTGGTATTGATCAGGCATTATATGTGCTGTAGGGATCAAGATAAGATACCATTTTCCTTTCATCATTCTTTCAGTAAATTTGAGTGCCTTTTATGTGCCAGGGACCCAGTGGTAAGGAAAACAAAATCCCTGCTTTCAGAGAACAAAGTCTGAGGGAGACAATAAATTATCATGGATATATGTAATTGTAACTCTAATTACTGTGATGAAAGAAAAACATCTCAGCATTAACAGGGACCCTTGATCTAGTAGGGATCAGGAGAGGCTTTCCTGAGCAAGTGATGCTTGAGTTGGCATCTGACATGTGAGCAGGAATTAGTTATGTGAAGGCAGTACAGCTGGAAGGGAAATGAGGTGAGATGTTTTGACCCCAAAAGACAGACCTGGAGAACTGATGAGGGGATTTACAATTACTCATTTTCAGTTGTGATCCAAATTCAAGTAATTGTTTATCCAAATCACAACAAATTAATTTTCATTATACAAATAAAACCAGAATAGCTAATACTGCACATGATAAATGTATTAGAGAAAACTTACTGAAGAACCACAAGATTAAAAATTGCCAAAATTTAGCCAATGATGGGCAAAAAAAGAAAAAAAAATAAGAAAAAAGTTGCCAAAATTGACCCTAGAAAAATTAGACTTGATAGAAATATTCAACAAAGTAAAACTTTCCGGTTATTGACCAAACTTAATAGAGGAATTGCATTAATAAAATTTAGATTTTTTTATTTGATCCTGAGAAATCAATGGCAAAAACTCTAAAAGAATATTTATTGATTGATTGAATGATTGAGACAGAGTCTTGTTCTGTCGCCCAGGCTGGAGTGCGGTGGCATGATCTCAGCTCACTGCAACCTCCGCCCCACTGGGTTCAACCAATTATCCTGCCTCATCAGCCTCCTGAGTAGCTGGGATTACAGACGTGCGCCACCATGCCCAGCTAATTTTTGTATTTTTAGTAGAGACAGGGTTTCACCATGTTGGCCAGGCTGGCCTCAAACTCCTAACCTCAGGTGATCCACCTTCCTCGGCCTCCCATAGTGCTAGGATACAGGCATAAGCCACTGTGTCTGGCCCTCTAAAAGAATTTATATGTGCAAAAAACGGATTGGGGAATCAATTTGTTGCCTTATCATTAACATAGAAAACAATGCTCTCAGTGAAAATAATTTCTGTCAAAGCATAATTTGTTTTTGCTGCACTGTGTAGAAAACTGATTAAGACACTTAATTGGCTTGAGGCTGGACATGGTTACTCACGCTGTAATCCCAGCGCTTTGGAAGGCCAAAGTGGGAGAATCACTTGAGGCCAGGAGTTCAAGACCACACCAGCCTAGGCAACATAGCAAGATCTCCATCTCTACAAAAATAAAAAATAGCCAGGAGTGGTGGTGTACATCTGTAGTCCCAGCTACTCAGGAGGCTGAGGTGGGAGGATTTCTTGGGCACAGGGGTTTGTGGCTGCAGTGAGCTATAATTGCACCATTGTTCTCCAGGCTGCGTGACTGAGCAAGCCCCCGACTCTAGGTAGGTAGGTTGGTAGGTAGATGATAGATTAGGTAGACTTGCATGCATGCAAGGATTAGATGATAGACCAGATAGGCTTGAATGCGTGTGAGAATAGATGGATAGAGACACAGAGAGAGATAGGATTGAGTGCATGCAAGAAAATATTTTCTCACCAAAAATCCATCTATGATGGTATGATTCTCATTTGATGTTTGTATTCATAAGCACGTCAGAAAACCTCTAGAATTATTTATGGTGTTTGGAGAGGGAGACATAGGCAGACTGTAAAGGCCCTAAAGCAGAAGCATCAAGCTTTTGGGGATCTTCGAGGCCAGAGTATTTAAGACAAAGAATATCTTTCAGACATCTTAGGGTGTAGATGAGAAAAACAGTTTCAATACATTGTGCTAATTTCTGTGATAAAAGGAAGTACCAGGTTGTTCAGGATTCATTGGAAGGGCACCCACATGGGTGGGAAATTAGGAACTTATGTCCCCATTATTTAAATTATAATAATAGCTACTACTTTAAGTGACACTTACTACACTATTGGCATTATTTGAAGCACTTTTGGGATATTAATTCATTTATTCCTGACAACAATCACTATGAGGCAGATACTATTATTCCCATTTTACAGATAAGAAAATTGAAGTTGGTTTAAATTACTTTCCAAACCAATGAGTGGTGGAGCTCAGATTCATACCTCGGCAGCCAAACTCCAGAGTATAAGTCAGTCAGATACATCATGTATGGTTATAATAAAAACATAAAATAATACTTGTTTTCTATCTTTAAAATCTTAGGAGCCATAGTTTCTAACAGAGTGATGTAAATGTTTTCATTTTTGTATATTGTATAACTTTGAACACAGTTGTATACAGAGAGGCTATGTTATTTGTGTAAGGTCAAAAACTAGTAAGTTGGGGTGTCAGAATTCAACATCTGGCAGTCTGGCTTCTGAATTCAGACATTTGTCAGGTAAAGGAGATATAGGTGGAGTGGTTAAACAAAAATGATCAAGTTTTGAAGGGTGTTGTGTTTCCTGTTTATGAGGAGCCATTGGAGCCCTTAGGACTTGATTAGCTCAGATGTGTGTGTTGAAAGATCACCCTGGGTCAATGTACAGAAGGGCTTAAAGAGGTGGTTCTGAGCAAGAAGGTATAATGCAATCTGGACTTAAGCTAAGATAATGGCAATGGGAGAAAATATTTTGACAAAACCCAGTGACCTTTTAGATATGGGAAATAAGGAAGAGGTAGGAGTAATGAGTAATTATCCTCTTTCTGTCCTGGACATATGGGAAAATGGTACCATATACTGCCTAAAATAGGGAATAGGGGAGGAAGTTTTGAAGAAATGTTTTGAGTTCCTGGCTCCCAAGGGACACATAGATGGAGATGGTCAATAGACAATAGGGTTCCCAGGCCTGAAGTTCAAAAGGCTCTCAGGAGATGACAATTGAAACTCCACGAATAGATTTGAAGCCACCCAGGAAGAGAGCACAGTGAGAAGCAAGCAAAAGAATGACAACACTTGAGAAATGGGCAAACTTAGGACAATCCACAAAGCATCCTGTTAAGTGAATATCAGTATAGAAAAGAAATAGCTTGGCACTATTCTCCATATGTGTATCCAATAGATTTTATATGGGCAAAATTTAAATATTAAAATAACATTTAATATTGCTAGGGAAAAGCAGACCAGCATATTTTAGTGTCAGAGCACATTCGCTTATGGATGTTTCTTAAATGCGTATGAGGGATAGGTGAATAAAATGCTTTTTAAATGTACATGAACAAACATCAAAAGCAAAGCAAAAGAATGAGGACCTGGAGCTCATACATGGCTAGTAGGAATGCAAAATGGAACAACCATTTTGGAAAACAGTTTCGTTTCTTGTAAGTTAAATATACTATAGGACCCGGCATTCCACTCCCAATTATTTATCTAAGCAGCTAAAACTTATATTCACACAATTCATATGCAAATGTTTGTAGAATACATCTTTAATTTTTTCATAATTAAACTGGGAGCAACCCAAATATCCTTCACTGAGTGAATGAATAAACTCAGGTACATCCATATAATGGCATACCACTCAACAATGAAAAGAAACTATTGATGAACAACATGGATAAAGCTCAAATGCATTATGCTAACTGAAAGAAGCCAGACTCAAAAGGTTATACTGTATACCGTAACATTCCATTTGGATAACATTCTGGAAAAGGCAAAACTGTAGGACCAGAAAGCAGATAGTGGTTACCAAAGGTTAAGGATAGGTGTGGGGGGAATATGGGAATATAAAGGGGCAGCATGGAGAAATTTGGTGGTAGGGGAGAGGATGTTCTGATTATGATTGACATAGTATATTTGTCAAAATTCACAGAACTGATTATCAAAGGAAATTTTACTGGACAAATTTCAAAATACACTTAAAGAATCAGCACTTGCTAACCAAGTTCTGAAAATTCAAAACTATATTAAGTTTTTTTTGTTTTGTTTTGTTTTGTTTTTTTGAGACAGAGTTTCACTCTTGTTGCCCAGGCTGGAGTGCAATGGCACGATCTCGGCTCACTGCAACCTCTGCTTCCCGGGTTTAAGTGATTCCCCTGCCTCAGCCTCCAAAGTAGCTGGGATTACAGGCATGGGCCACCATGCCCAGCTACTTTTTGTATTTTTAGGAGAGACAGGGTTTCACCATGTTGGTCAGCCTGGTCTCGAACTCCTGACCTCAGGTGATCCACCCACCTCGGCCTCCCAAAGTGCTGGAATTACAGGCATGAGCTACCTTGCCCAGCCAAAAATTAAGATTTAACTAGAAATATGTCTGTACCCAAAATCCATTTAGTGAGTGGTCAAAGAAGATTAACAGAGAAGTTGTATGCTTGGAAATGCAAATGAATTTTAGAAATGGGGAAATATAAATTTTCCTAACAAAAATGTAAAACAGAAGCTTATTAAATTAGTTAAAATTATATGGAATAATAAAAACTGATTATGTTAATAAAATTGAATGATAGCACAAGACTGAGACAACATATGGGAATATATTTTGGCCAGCCCTGGAAAGCAGTCTCAAAAATGTTTTTGTTTTTGAGAGAGTCTCACTCCGTCACCCAGGCTGGAGTGCCGTGGCACTATCTCGGCTCACTGCAACTTTCACCTCCCGGATTCCAGTGATCCTCCCATCTCAGCCTCCCTAGTAGCTGGAATTACAACCGAGCACCACCACATCTGGCTAATTTTTGTATTTTTATTAGAGGCAGGGTTTCACAGTGTTGGCCAGGCTGGTCTCAAACTCCTTGCCTCAAGTGATCTGCCCACCTCAGCCTCCCAAAGTGCTGGGATTACAAGTGTGAACTGCTGCGCCCAGCCTCAAAAATGTTTACTCCCATTCTTTTGATGATCCCACATTGAGGACCACCTGAGAATGAGCTTGCTGCCCCCACTTTCTCATTTGCTGTGCTTTACTGATATTTTTCCCTACTTGCCTAGGGAGTAAATTGTATGCATTACAATTCAGCAAGGAAAAAATGACAGTTTTCTAACAGCGCCCTAAAAAATGGAACAAAATTGTGTAGTTTAAAATAATATAGCTGGATGCAGTGGCTCATGCCCATTATACCAGCACTTTGGGAGGCTGAGGCTGGCAGATCACATGAGACCAGGAGTTTGAGACCATCCTGGCTAACATGGTGAAACCCCTTTTCTATTAAAAATACACAAATTAGCTGGGCATAGTGGTGCACATCTGTAATCCCAACTACTCATGAGGCTGAGGCATAAGAATCACATGAACCTGGGAGGCAGAGGTTGCAGTGAGCCAAGATCATGCCACTGCACTCCAGCCTGGGTGACAGAATGAGACTCTGTTTCAATAATAGTAATAATATATCCTGCCAAACTAAGCTTCATAAGCGAAGGAGAAATAAAATCTTTTCCAGACAAGCAAGCACAAAGGGCATTCTTTACCACTATACCAGCCTTACCAGAGATCCTCAAGGGAGTTCTAAACATGGAAGTGAAAGAACAATGCATGCTACCGAAAAACACATTTAAGTACATAGCCCATAGACCTATTAAGCAACTACACAATAGAAACTACAGAGCAACCTGCTAACAGCTTTGCAATAGGATCAAAACCACATGTAACAATATTAACCTGGAATGCAAATGGTCTAAACACCCCCACTTAAAAGTCCGCAGAATGAGGCTGGGCACAGTGGCTCATGCCTTGTAATCCCAGCACTTTGGGAGGTGGGTGGATCACCTGAGGTCAGGAGTTTGAGACCAGCCTGGCCAACATGGTGAACCCCATCTCTACTAAAAATACAAAAATTACCTGGGTGTGGTGGCGTGCACCTGTTATCTCAGCTGCTTGGGAGGCTGAGGCAGGAGAATCTCTTGAACCTGGGAGGCAGAGGTTGTGGTGAGCCAAGATCACGCTACTGCACTCCAGCCTGAGCGACAGAGCAAAACTCTGTCTCAAAAAAAAAAAAAAAAAAAAAGTTATCGACTGGCAAGTTGGATTAAAAAAACAAGACCCATCCATCTGCTGTCTTCAAGAGACCCATCTCAAACATGACGACACCCATAGGCTCAAAGTAAAAGGTTGGAGAAAGATCTGTCACACAAACAGAAAACAAAAAAGAACAGAGGTCACTATTTTTATATCAGATAAAAGACTAAACCAACTACAGTGAAAAAGGACGAAGAAGGGCACTACATAATGGCAAAGTGTTCAGTTCAACAACAAGACTGAACTATTGTAAATACATACACACCCAACATTTGAGCACCCAGGTTCATAAAACAAGTACTTCTAGACCTACAAAAAGACTTAGTCACACAATAATAGTGGGGGACTTCACCCCATTGAGAGTGCTGGACAGATCATCAAGGCAGAAAACAAAGAAATTCTGGACTTAAATTCAACACTTAGACCTACTAGATATCTACAGAGTAATTCACCCATCAACCACAGAATACATATTTTTCTCATGTGGACATGGAACATACTCCAGGGTCAACCAAATGCTCAACTGTAAAGCAAGTCTCAATAAATTCAAAAAAGTTAAAATTATACTAAACCATACTCTCAGATCACAGTGGAATAAAAATAGAAATCACTACCAAGAAGATCTCTCAATACCATATGACAACATGGAAATAAAACAACTTGCTCTTGAATGATTTTGGGTAAACGACAAATTTTTAAAATCTTTGAAATAAATGAAAACAAAGACACAACGTGCCAAAATCTCTGGGATGCAGCCAAAACAGTGTTAATAGGAAATTTTATAGCACAAAACACCTACCTCCAGAAGTTAGAAAGATCTCAAATTAACCATCTAACATTACAGATAGAGGAACAAGAAAAACAACAAATGAACCCCAAAGCTAGCAGAAGAGAAGAAATAACTAAAATCAGAGCCAAATGGAATGAAATTGAGACCCAAAAATCCATACAGAGAATCAATGAAAAACAAACAATTTTTTTATCTTTTCAAAAAAAATGTTTTTTGAAAGATGAAACAAGATTGGTAGACTGTTAGCTATATTAACAAAGAAAAAGAAGATCTAAATAAACGCAGTCAGAAATGACAAAGATGGCATTACAACCATTCCCACAGAAATACAAAAGGTCCTCAGGGACTATTATTAAATCTCTATGCACACAATTTAGGAAATCTAGAGGAAATGGCTAAGTTCCAGGAAACACAATTTCCTAAGATTGAATCAGGAAGAAATTGAAACCCTGAACACACCAGTATCGAGTTCCAAAATTGAATCAGTAATTTTTAAAAAATCTAAAAAAGCCCCAAACCAGATGGATTCGCAGCTGAATTCTACCAGACATAAACAAAGAAGAGCTAGTACCAATTCTACTGAAACTATTCTTTAAAAAAAATGAGGAAGAGAGATTCCTCCCTAACTCATTCTACAAAGCCAGCATTAGCTTGATATCAAAACCTGACAAAGACAATGAGAGAAACTACAGGCCAATATCCCTGATGAACATAGACACAAAAATCCTCAGCAAAAATAGCAAATCGAATCCAGCATCCCATTCAAAAATTAATTCACCATGATCACAGGCTTCATTCCTGGGATGCAAGGTTGGTTCAGCATACAGAAATCAGTAAATGGGATTCACCACATAAACATAACAAACAATTAAAAACCATACGATCATATCAACAGATGCAGAAAAAGCTTTTGATAAAATCCAACATCTTTTCATGATAACCCTCCAGAAACTAGGCTTCAAAGGAACATACCTCAAAATAAGAGCCATCTATGACAAACCCACAGCCAACATCATACTGAATGGGCAAAAACTGGAAGCATGCCCAGTGAGAACTGGAACAAAACTGATGCCCACTCTCACCACTCCTATTCAACACAGAACTAGAAGTCCTAGCCAGAGTAATCAGGCAAGAGAAAGAAAAAGCATCCAAATATAAAAAGAAGTCAAACTTTCTTTGCTGATGATATGATTCCATACCTAGAAAACGCTGAAAACTCCGCCAAAAGGCTTCTGGAACTGATAACTTCAATAATGTTTCAGGATACAAAAATCAATGTACAAAAATCAGTAGCATTTCTATACACCAAAAATGTTAAAGCTGAGAACCAAATCAAGAACATAATCTCGAGGATATGAGGGGGGTCCTGAGCCAAGATGGCCGAACAGGAACAGCTCCGGTCTACAGCTGCCAGCGTGAGCGATGCAGAAGACGGGTGATTTCTGCATTTCCATCTGAGGTACTGGGTTCATCTCACTAGGGAGTGCCAGACACTGGGCGCAGGACAGTGGGTGCAGCACACTGTGCGCGAGCCAAAGCAGGGCGAGGCATTGCCTCATTTGGGAAGTGCAAGGGGTCAGGGAGTTCCCTTTCCTAGTCAAAGAAAGGGGTGACAGACGGCACCTGGAAAATCGGGTCTCTCCCACCCTAATACTGCGCTTTTCCAACGGGCTTAAAAAAACGGTGCACCAGGAGATTATATCCCGCACATGGCTCAGAGGGTCCTTCACCCACAGAGTCTCGCTGATTGCTAGCACAGCAGTCTGAGATCAAACTGCAAGGCGGCAGCGAGGCTTGGGGAGGGGCGCCCGCCGTTGCCCAGGCTTGCTTAGGTAAACAAAGCAGCCGGGAAACTCGAACTGGGTGGAGCCCACCACAGCTCAAGGAGGCCTGCCTGCCTCTGTAGGCTCCACCTCTGCGGGCAGGGCACAGACAAAAAGACAGCAGTAACCTCTGCAGAGTTAAATGTCCCTGTCTGACAGCTTTGAAGAGAGCAGTGGTTCTCCCAGCACGCAGCTGGAGATCTGAGAACGGGCAGACTGCCTCCTCAAGTGGGTCCCTGAACCCTGACCCCTGAGCAGCCTAACTGGGAGACACCCCCCAGTAGGGGCAACCTGACACCTCACAAGGCCGGGTACTCCTCTGAGACAAAACTTCCAGTGGAATGATCAGACGGCAGCATTCGCGGTTCATGAAAATCCGCTGTTCTGCAGCCACCACTGCTGTTACCCAGGCAAACGGTCTGGAGTGGACCTCTAGCAGACTCCAACAGACCTGCAACTGAGGGTCTTGTCTGTTAGAAGGAAAACTAACAAACAGAAAGGACATCCACACCAAAAACCCATCTGTACATCACCATCATCAAAGACCAAAAGTAGATAAAACCACAAAGATAGGGAAAAAACAGCAGAAAAACTGGAAACTGTAAAAAGCAGAGCGCCTCTCCTCCTCCAAAGAAACGCAGTTCCTCACCAGCAACGGAACAAAGCTGGATGGAGAATGACTTTGGCGAGTTGAGAGAAGAAGGCTTCGGACGATCAAACTACTCCAAGCTAGAGGAGGAAATTCAAACCAAAGGCAAAGAAGTTGAAAACTTTGAAAAAAATTTAGACGAACGTATAACTAGAATCAACAATACAGAGAAGTGCTTAAAGGAGCTGATGGAGCTGAAAGCCAAGGCTAAGGACTACGTGAAGAATGCAGAACCCTCAGGAGCTGACGCGATCAACTGGAAGAAAGGGTATCAGTGATGGAAGATGAAATGAATGAAATGAAGCGAGAAGGGAAGTTTAGAGAAAAAAGAATAAAAAGAAACGAACAAAGCCTCCAAGAAATATGGGACTATGTGAAAAGACGAAATCTACATCTGATTGGTGTACCTGAAAGTGACGGGGAGAATGGAACCAAGTTGGAAAACAGTCTGCAGGATATTATCCAGAACTTCCCCAATCTAGCAAGGCAGGCCAACATTCAGATTCAGGAAATACAGAGAACGCCACAAAGATACTCCTCGAGAAGAGCAACTCCAAGACACATAATTGTCAGATTCACCAAAGTTGAAATGAAGGAAAAAATGTTAAGGGCAGCCAGAGAGAAAGGTCGGGTTACCCACAAAGGGAAGCCCATCAGACTAACAGCGGATCTCTCGGCAGAAACTACAAGCCAGAAGAGAGTGGGGGCCAATATTCAACATTCTTAAAGAAAAGAATTTTCAACCCAGAATTTCATATCCAGCCAAACTAAGCTTCATAAGTGAAGGAGAAATAAAATCCTTTACAGACAAGCAAATGCTGAGAGATTTTGTCACCACCAGGCCTGCCTTAAAAGAGCTCCTGAAGAAAGCACTAAACATGGAAAGGAAAAACCAGTACCAGCCACTGCAAAATCATGCCAAATTGTAAAGACCATTGAGGCTAGGAAGAAACTGCATCAACTAACTAGCAAAATAACCAGCTAACATCAAAATGACAGGATCAAATTCACACATAACAATATTAACTTTAAATGTAAATGGAGTAAATGCTCCAATTAAAAGACACAGACTGGCAAATTGGATAAAGAGTCAGGACCCATAAGTGTGCTGTATTCAGGAAACCCATCTCACGGGCAGAGACACCCATAGGCTCAAAATAAAAGGATGGAGGAAGATCTACCAAGCAAATGGAAAACAAAAGAAGGCAGGGGTTGCAATCCTGGTCTCTGATAAAACAGACTTTAAACCAACAAAGATCAAAAGAGACAAGGCCATTACATAATGGTAAAGGGATGAATTCAACAAGAAGAGCTAACTATCCTAAATATATATGCACCCAATACTGGAGCACCCGGATTCATAAAGCAAGTCCTGAGTGACCTACAAAGAGACTTAGACTCCCACACAATAATAATGGGAGACTTTAACACCCCACTGTCAACATTAGACAGATCAACGAGACAGAAAGTTAACAAGGATACCCAGGAATTGAACTCAGCTCTGCACCAAGCGGACCTAATAGACATCTACAGAACTCTCCACCCCAAATCAACAGAATATACATTTTTTTCAGCACCGCACCACACCTATTCCAAAATTGACCACATACTTGGAAGTAAAGCTCTCCTCAGCAAATGTAAAAGAACAGAAATTATAACAAACTATCTCTCAGACCACAGTGCAATCAAACTAGAACTCAGGATTCAGAAACTCACTCAAAACCGCTCAACTACATGGAAACTGAACAACCTGCTCCTGAATGACTACTGGGTACATAATGAAATGAAGGCAGAAATAAAGATGTTCTTTGAAACCAATGAGAACAAAGACACAACATACCAGAATCTCTGGGACACATTCAAAGCAGTGTGTAGAGGGAAATTTATAGCACTAAATACCCACAAGAGAAAGCAGGAAAGATCCAAAATTGACACCCTAACATCACAATTAAAAGAACTAGAAAAGCAAGAGCAAACACATTCAAAAACTAGCAGAAGGCAAGAAATAACTAAAATCAGAGCAGAACTGAAGGAAATAGAGACACAAAAAAGCCTTCAAAAAATTAATGAATCCAGGAGCTGGTTTTTTTGAAAGGATCAACAAAATTGATAGACCACTAGCAAGACTAATAAAGAAGAAAAGAGAGAAGAATCAAATAGACACAATAAAAAATGATAAAGGGGATATCACCACCGATCCCACAGAAATACAAACTACCATCAGAGAATACTACAAACACCTCTACGTAAATAAACTAGAAAATCTAGAAGAAATGGATAAATTCCTGGACACATACACCTCCCAAGACTAAACCAGGAAGAAGTTGAATCTCTGAATAGACCAATAACAGGCTCTGAAATTGTGGCAATAATCAATAGCTTACCAACCAAAAAGAGTCCAGGACCAGATGGATTCACAGCCAAATTCTACCAGAGGTACAAGGAGGAACTGGTACCATTCCTTCTGAAACTATTCCAATCAATAGAAAAAGAGGGAATCCTCCCTAACTCATTTTATGAGGCCAGCATCATCCTGATACCAAAGCCAGGGAGAGACACAACCAAAAAGAATTTTAGACCAATATCCTTGATGAACATTGATGCAAAAATCCTCAATAAAATACTGGCAAACCGAATCCAGCAGCACATCAAAAAGCTTATCCACCATGATCAAGTGGGCTTCATCCCTGGGATGCAAGGCTGGTTCAATATATGCAAATCAATAAATGTAATCCAGCATATAAACAGAACCAAAGACAAAAACCACATGGTTATCTCAATAGATGCAGAAAAGGCCTTTGACAAAATTCAACAACCTTTCATGCTAAAAACTCTCAATAAATTCGGTATTGATGGGATGTATCTCAAAATAATAAGAGCTATCTATGACAAACCCACAGCCAATATCATACTGAATGGGCAAAAACTGGAAGCATTCCCTTTGAAAACTGGCACAAGACAGGGATGCCCTCTCTCACCACTCCTATTCAACATAGTGTTGGAAGTTCTGGCCAGGGCAATCAGGCAGGAGAAGGAAATAAAGGGTATTCAATTAGGAAAAGAGGAAGTCAAATTGTCCCTGTTTGCAGATGACATGATTGTATATCTAGAAAACCCCATTGTCTCAGCCCAAAATCTCCTTAAGCTGATAAGCAACTTCAGCAAAGTCTCAGGATACAAAATCAATGTACAAAAATCACAAGCATTCTTATACTCCAATAACAGACAAACAGAGAGCCAAATCATGAGTGAACTCCCATTCACAATTGCTTCAAGAGAATAAAATACCTAGGAATCCAACTTACAAGGGACCTGAAGGACCCCTTCAAGGAGAACTACAAACCACTGCTCAAGGAAATAAAAGAGGATACAAATAAATGGAAGAATATTCCATGCTCATGGGTAGGAAGAATCAATATCGTGAAAATGGCCATACTGCCCAAGGTAATTTATAGATTCAATGCCATCCCCATCAAGCTACCAATGACTTTCTTCACAGAACTGGAGAAAGACTACCTTAAAGTTCATATGGAACCAAAAAAGAGCCCGCGTTGCCAAGTCAATCTTAAGCCAAAAGAACAAAGCTGGAGGCATCACGCTACCTGACTTCAAACTATACTACAAGGCTACAGTAACCAAAACAGCATGGTACTGGTACCAAAACAGAGATATAGATCAATGGAACAGAACAGAGCCCTCAGAAATAATGCCACATATCTACAACTATCTGATCTTTGACAAACCTGAGAAAAACAAGCAATGGGGAAAGGATTCCCTATTTAATAAATGGTGCTGGGAAAACTGGCTAGCCATATGTAGAAAGCTGAAACTGGATCCCTTCCTTACACCTTATACAAAAAGTAATTCAAGATGGATTAAAGACTTAAACGTTAGACCTAAAACCATTAAAAACCCTAGAAGAAAACCTAGGCATTACCATTCAGGACATAGGCATGGGCAAGGACTTCATGTCTAAAACACCAAAAGCAATGGCAACAAAAGCCAAAATTGACAAATGGGATCTAATTAAACTAAAGAGCTTCTGCACAGCAAAAGAAAGTACCATCAGAGTGAACAGGCAACCTACACAATGGGAGAAAATTTTTGCAACCTACTCATCTGACAAAGGGCTAATATCCAGAATCTACAATGAACTCAAACAAATTTACAAGAAAAAAACAACCCCATCAAAAAGTGGGTGAAGGACATGAACAGACACTTCTCAAAAGAAGACATTTATGCAGCCAAAAAACACATGAAAAAATGCTTACCATCCCTGGTCATCAGAGAAATGCAAATCAAAACCACAATGAGATACCATCTCACACCAGTTAGAATGGCAGTCATTCAGGAAACAACAGGTGCTGGAGAGGATGTGGAGAAATAGGAACACTTTTACACTGCTGGTGGGACTGTAAACTAGTTCAACCATTGTGGAAGTCAGTGTGGCGATTCCTCAGGGATCTAGAACTAGAAATACAATTTGACCCAGCCATCCCATTACTGGCTGTATACCCAAAGGACTATAAATCATGCTGCTATAAAGACACATGCACACGTATGTTTATTGTGGCACTATTCACAATAGCAAAGACTTGGAACCAACCCAAATGTCCAACAATGATAGACTGGATTAAGAAAATGTGGCACATATACACCATGGAATAGTATGCAGCCATAAAAAAGGATGAGTTCATGTCCTTTGTAGGGACATGGATGAAATTGGAAATCATCATTCTCAGTAAACTATCGCAAGGAGAAAAAACCAAACACCGCATGTTCTCACTCATAGGTGGGAATTGAACAATGAGAACACATGGACACAGGAAGGGGAACATCACACTCTGGGGACTGTTGTGGGGTGGGGGGAAGGGGGAGAGATAGCATTAGGAGATATACCTAATGCTAAATGACGAGTTAATGGGTGCAGCACACCAGCATGGCACATGTATACATATGTAACTAACCTGCACATTGTGCACATGTACCCTAAAACTTAAAGTATAATAATAATAAAATAAAATAAAAGAACATAATCTTACTTACAGTAGCCATAAACAAAAATAAAATACCTAGGAATGTATCTAATCAAAGAGGTGAAAGATCACTAGAAGGAGAACTATAAAACACGGCTGAAGGAAATCATAGATGATGTAAACAAATGGGAAAACATTCCATGCTCATGGATTGGAAGAATCAATATTGTTAAAATGGCCACACTGCCCAAAGCACTCGACAGACAATACTTTTTTTTTTTTTGAGTTGGAGTTTTGCTCTGTCACCCAGGCTGGAGTGCAGTGGCACAATCTCAGCTCACTGCAACCTCCGCCTCCTGGGTTCAAGTAATTCCCCTGCCTCAGCCTCCCGAGTAGCTGTGATTACAGGCCCATGCCACCACACTCAGCTAATTTTTGTATTTTTAATAGAAACGGGGTTTCACCATGTGGGCCAGGCTGATCTCAAACTCCTGACCTCAGGTGAGCCATCCACCTTGGCCTCCCAAAGTGCTGGGATTACAGGTGTGACCCACCATGCCTGGCCCAGATTGAACACTATTTCTATCAAGCTACTAATATGGTTTTTCACAGGACTAGAAAAAAACATTCTAAAATTTATATGCAACCAAAAAAGAGCCCTAATAGCCAAAGCAGTTTTAATCAAAAAGAACAAAGCTAGAGGATCACACTACCTGAATTCAAATTATAAGGCTACAGTAACCAAAAGAGCATGGTACTGGTACAAAAGCAGACACATAGACGGATGGAATTGAATAGAGAACCCAGAAATAAATCCACACACCTACAGCTATCAAATCTTCAACAAAGTTGACAAAAATAAGCATTGGGACAAGAACTCCCTACTCAATAAATGGTGCTGTGATAGTTGACTAGCCATATGTAGAAGAATGATACTTGATCCGTACTAGCAGCATATACAAAAATTAATTCAACATGGATTAAAGATTTAAATATAAGACCTCAAACTGTAAGAGTCCTAGAAGAAAACCTAGGAAACACAATTCTGGACGTCAGCCTTTGGAAATAATTTATGACTAGGTCCTCAAAAGCAATTGAAACAAAACTAAAAATTGACAAGTGGAACCTAGTTAAACTAAAAAACTACACAGCAAAAGAAACTATCAACAGAGTAAACAGCTTACAGAATGGGAGAAAATATTTGCAAACTATGCATCTGACAAAAGTCTAAAATTCTAAAGAATCTATACAGAACTTAATTGAGCAAGCAAAAAAAAAAACCCTATTAAAAATGAGCAAAAGACATGAACAGATCTTATCAAAAGAAAACACACAAGCGGCCAACAAACATGAAAAAATGTTCAACATCAATAATAATCAGAGAAACGCAAATCAAAAACACAATGAGATACCACCTCACACCAGTCAGAATGACTATTACTAAAAAGTGAAAAAATAGATGCTGGCAAAGCTTTGGAGAAAAGGAAATGCTTATACACTGTGAGTGGGACTGTAAATTAGTTCAGCCACAGTAGAAAGCAGTTTGGAGACTTCTCAAAGAACTTAGAACTACCTTTTCATCATTAATCCCATCACTTGGTATATATCCAAAAGAAAATAAATTATTCTCCCAAAAGACAAATACTCCTGTATGTTCATCACAGTACTATTCACAATAGCAAAGACATGAAATCAACCTAGGTGCCCATCAACGGTGGATTTGATAAAGGAAATGTGGTATATACACACTATAGAATACTACACAGCCACAAAAAAGAATGAAACGATGTCCTTTGCAACAACGTGCATGCAACTGGAGGCCACTATCCTAAGTGAATTAGTTCAGGAACAGAAAACCAAATACCGCAAGCCCTCACTTATAAGTGAGAGCTAAACACTGGGTACTTATGGACATAAAGATGGCAAAAACAGACGCTGGGGACTACTGGAGGTGGGAGGGAGGGATGGGGGTAAGGGTTGAAAAACGTTTGGGTACTATGCTCAGTACCTGGATGATGGGATCAATCATACCCCAAACCTCAGCATCATGCAATATGCCCATGTAACAAATGTGCACATGTCCCTGAATTAAAAATAAAATTTGTAATTATTTTTAAAATTAAAAAAACCCAAGGCAATTGTTTTTAAAACATGTCTCCCCTAGAGCATACCAAATGCTTTGCCACAGAATTATGTAATTATGCCATGAACTCAATTTTATGAGCAAATAAGTATAATTTCAATCCAGTAACCAGCAAATCCGTTGTTGACTTTTGGAATATGCTATGTTATGTTTCATAGCGTGCCTTCCTAGTTATATTTTACAGATGTTGGTATTTTTGTTTGTATTTACTGATTATATACCAGTTGGACAGTGGAAGGGAAAGAACCTAAAATGATAAATCACCTGCAGATAGAAAAATGAGTAAATAATTTTCACCTAAATCAAATGTGTGCCATTTTCCCTTTCTGGGTTTTTTGCTTTCAATTAATACTAAATTTAGTTTTGTACACATAACCATTAGGAGGAAGAAAAGCCAACCTGTATCTTTATTTTAGCCAGTTCTCTAACAATTAATTATATATATTTAAAAGTTGGATTTTATCTGAGCTTTGGTTTACCTGTTATTTACTTTTTAAAAATACATGGGTGTTCGTACACCATATATATTCTTTTATATAACAGTTTGAAAGAGTTTTCCTGATTGCAGTGAAGTTAATGTTCCCCCTTTTTTAGTCATTAACAGTCAAATGAATAGTTAAATATATTAAAGATACAGAAATAGAAAATTTACAAGATGGATTAAATAAACACTTATAGGAGTTACTATGACAAAATATTTTGAAACTTACTTTCGAGTTATAAATAAAATTATTAAAGATAAAATTCCAACCTGTTCTCTCATGTGGAGTTTAAATCGCAAGTCGGAAACTTAGGATTTAGGCTAAAGAACGAATGTAAAGGGGAAGAAAACTGTATTCCAAAAACAAAAGGTTATATAAATTGCCAAATTAAGAAGGTTTTTTCACCTCTACCTTATGCTGAGTGAAGAAGGTAAGTATACTAAGCAGCTGCTTTTAATGCCTTTTATTTAAACAAAACAACGAAATCCATAGACTTCTGGAATACCAGCAAATTGTATGTGTTTTCAGTTAGTCATCATGTTATATTAACAGTTCATTAAACAAATGACAATTTGTAAATTCAGTCCACAGAATAGCATACTGAAAGGCTACACATGTAGAATTATTAGATAAAAAGGAACATCACTGCCCTTCATAAATTCTAGAAAGTTCATTGCATTCATTATTCACCTTTAAATTCAAAACTGGAATTTGATGATGATTGCAACTGCAGCTGAGGGCCATAAACTAAAACAATTTACTGGGTGTGGAAAAGGGGGCTGGGAAGAGCCGTGGGCTAACCATCCTGTTAACAAGGAGTGTCTCCTCATGAAGGTGGCAGCCACCAGAACGAGGTGCTGCCTCCTACCCTACAAATAGCAAGGGCCCATGCAAATGAAAAGTGAGCCTTTGAGATGAGTCTAGATAATAATGCATTGGAGATTTCCTGTTAAACTAGCACTCTTAAGAACATAGTGGCATTTTATTTCAATCATAGTATAAAACTCACTGGTTTATTCAATTTTATTATATTTTAGATGTTGGTATTAATATACCAAGCAAGATTCTTTTTAAGTTTTCTATTTCCCCTTTCTAAAAGCTCTATATCGGGTTCTTCAATTACATTCTCAAATTATACAAATACTACATGTTTTCTGACAAATACCGTATTTTGGTAATGTTAGGCTGGAAGTAAACTAGAGTCTTTCTGTAACTTTGACTTATCCTGCAATGTTTGGATGATGGGACACATCACCCTGGGAACTGTCTCAAAGCACAACCACATCTTAGGGCCCTACGCTCACTCCCCAAAGGCAGATCCGCCTCCAAAACTCCAAATCCTCATGGTCTCAGGCATCCCTTTTAAACACGGGCACAATCGTCACCTCTTTGAAATGAGAGCGTGCTTGATTATTCCTGGCCTCCAGTTGCTGGCCTTCATCCGGTGTTGGGGTGGGGGAGCCTGTCGGTTCCTGAAAAATAGCTCGGGGATAACTAAGACAAAAGACCCTGAGGAGCTCTGCCTCAACTGTGGCAAGCTGGGTCTTCCACGTCACCAAGTGTCATTTTCACCGTGCCTGTATGGTCCGCTGTTCATCCTGTTAGCGGACCCCGAAATCAGGCAGGAAAATAAAGCTCAGTGGGAGGGCCTCGGAGCAAGACAATCCCACCAAGATGGACTCGGGTTGATTAACGTGAGTGAACCTCTGAGGACCAGAATCCAGACTAGTAATTCTCCATCCCGGCTGCTCGTTAGATGCCCGGACCGACCCCCCCAGACCAATTCAATCAGAACATTCGGAGGGGCTTGTAAAATCTCCCGGGGAGATTCCGGTACGAAAGCCAAAGACTCAGACGCCCGTTCTCCACCCGCCTGCAGCGGCCAGCGCGGGTCCCTCTTAGGGAATTGAATGCAGGCCCCAGGCCTCCTCCTCGAGTATCCCAGTGTGACCGATGGCCAGCTCACAAACGCGCAGTGGGTGCGGCCGCGCCAGGGCGCAGCGGAGCAGAGGGCCCGGCCGCTTTCGGCCTGGGAAAGAGGAGCCACGGCCCGGAGAGGCGTCAGTGCTGGGCTGCGCCTGCGGAGGTCCTCGCAATTGCTGGACTCAACCGCGCGCGCCCCCTACCGGTCCTGCGAAGGAGCCGCAGCCGCCGCGGGAGGCCACAGGTGAAGCGAAGGGTGTGTCTTACTTCAGCAGCCCTGTAAGCCACGCCCAGATTCTCTCTCATTTTCCCACTTCTCATGGCTTTGCATGCTGTCCCACGTTACGTTAGCCTGTACTGAATGTCTCTTTTTCCACATTTAGAAAACAATTTGTTGATGCTGCAAGACATGAAAAAGTACTGTAACTCCCTGAATGTGCATGTCTTTCAGATAGGTAACAAATTACATTGGGCCATTGTTCAACTTTATTAATATTTGTTAAAACATAATTTGCATATATTTTTGCCTATCAAATTGGCAATATTTGTATGTATGTATGTATGTATTTATTTATTTTTTGCGACAGAGTTTCGCGCTTGTTGCCCAGGCTGGAGTGCAGTGGTGCAATCTCGGCTCATTGCAACCTCTGCCTCCTGGGTTCAAGTAATTCTCCTGTCTCAGCCTCCCGAGTAATTAGGATTACAGGCGCGCGCCGCCACGACCGGCTAATTTTGTATTTTTAGTAGAGACGGGGTTTCACCCTGTTGGCCAGGCTGGTCTCGAACTCCTGACCTCAAGTGATCTGCCTGCCTCGCCCCCTCAAAGTGGTGGGATTACAGGCGTGAACCACCGCGCCCAGCCATGTTTTTAAGTGAGATTCTTAATGCTTGTGAAAATAATGAGAGACTTTTTCATATAGTTTTTTGTTTGTCTTTTGAGACGGAGTTTTGCTCTTGTTGCCCAGGCTGGAGTGCAATGGCGTGATCTCGGCTCACCGCAACCTCCACCGCCCGGGTTCAAGCGATTCTCCTGCCGCAGCCTCCCGAGTAGCTGGGACTACAGGCGCCCGCCACTACGCCTGGCTAATTTTTTGTATTTTTAGTACAGACGGGGTTTCACCGTGTTAGCCAGGATGGTCTCGATCTCCTGATCTCGTGATCTGCACGCCTGGGCCTCTCAAGGTGCATATACATTTTTAAAATGTTGTGTATCAGCCTTTAAAATGCTCATATGGAAACAAATAATTGGTGGCAGCCTCTTCAATGCAATATTTTGCAGCTATAAAAATAGCTTTTCAAATAATATTTTATTTCAAATCACTGCATGTTAACCACTATGTATATTCTGGATTAATGGAAATTTCATTGCATATCTGTGCTGTTTAAAGAATAACACCCTTTCTTCCCCTCCCAAGTTCTGTATCATCAAATATAGTCAGGCAGATGTAGGTCAAAATATCATCTTTGTTACTGATAAAATAGTTTAGAGAAAATGGTGTTGATCTGCAGCTAAGTAGACTGCAATAATTTGCTCAGGAATTTGGCATAATTAGTCTGTCATCACACACAACCTTGGCCTCCCCACACAAGTATACAGTCCCCTTATTCTATGGAAGACAGCTGACTAGAACATAAATCTTGCAAGCAGACAGCCTTGAAAGTAAGAGCCCAGAAGGAGCTGAGCTCATGAGTCATCTGCCTGTCTTCTCCACAGAGGAGAAATTGTAGCAATAAAGCTCCAGGTCAGGGGCATTATGTGTAGAATTTCCTCCACAAGGAAATATGAAGCCAGGGAAGGCAATTATATCCCCATATGTTCTCAAGAAGAAGAAGAAAATCTGAACAAACCACTAACCATTAAAGAGAGCACAAAATAAATTTTACTGAACCTTCAGGGAATGCATTATCCCAAAATATGTAAAATGCTTCAACAAATAGCTAATTAGAATAGGCTTCCCAGCTCATTCTATGATGGTAGTATAACCTTGAAACCAAAACTGGACAAAGAGTATTAAAAAAAAATCAGCAAAATTACTAATGAACATGGGCATAAAAAATCTGAGTAAATGTTACATTTACTCAGTAATATAATGTGACCAGATTTATAATATATAATAATTGATAAGTAATGTCATATTATGTTACTATGTATTAATATTCATTACCATGTATAAACTATAGTAATTAGTAATATATTATTTATATATCATTTGTATATTACTTGTATAAGTAATAAATTTCTTATATTTTTATTATTTATATATTATACAAGTAATATATTCTTGTTTTATATATATATATATATACACACACAAACACACAAGTATTATATCATAACCAAGTTTGACTTATCCAAGAAATGCCTCATGCTTAATAATCTATTAATGTGGCCAGGCATGGTGGCTTACACCTGTAATCTCAGCACTTTGGGAGGCTGAGGCGAGTGGATCACCTGAGGTCAGGAGTTCGAGACCAGCCTGACTAACATGCAGAAACCCCATCTCTACTAAAAATACAAAATTAGCCCAGCATAGTGGCATGCACCTGTAGTCCCAGCTACTCAGGAGGCTGAGGCAGGAGAATCACTTGAACCTGGAAGGCGGAGGTTGCAGTGAGCCGAGATTGCACCACTGCACTCCAGTCTGGGCAACAGAGCAAGACTTTGTCTCAAAAAAAAAAAAAAAATGAGAGAATCTCTTAATGTAATATACCACACCAGTGATTAAAGGAACAAGACAAAGATAGCTGGTATTATCTCTACTATTCCACTTTGTACTAAAGGGGTTAAAAAATGCAATAAGACACTAAAATAAGTAAGTCATACAATTGGAAACAACTGTCAATACTTAGAATATTGTCTTTATAGAAAGTCTAGGAGAATGTATAAAGTTGTTAGAACTAATAAGAGAACCTAGTCAGATTGCTACATACAAGACCAACATATAAAAATTAGTAGTAGTTTCTATATGACAGTATTTTAAAAACTAAAAAAAGATATTATTCTCCATCGCAAAAGAAATATGCCATGTTATTAAATAGGAAGACTCAATACCATGGGTATATCACTTCTTTCCCAAATAAAGTTACAAATTTAATTTAATTCTAACTGAAATCCAAGCAAGATACTTTGTGGAACTTGACATACTTATCCTAAAATTGATCTGGCTATGTAAAGAACTGAGAATAACCACCATAGTTTTTAAGAAAAGGATAAAGTGAGAGGACTTTCTCTACCAGATATCCAGATTTATTACAAAGTTATAATCATTAAAACATGTGGTATTGATACCAACTTAGATAAAAAGGAATAGAACTGAAAGTTCAGAAACATCTCCACACATATATGAACTATGATTGAAGAATTAGAAATCAATGAATAATTTACTATTGAAAAATAAATTGTTGGAGACAATTGACTAGGCATGAGAAAATAAATTAGATCCTTATTTCACAGCATACACAAAATCATTTCCATGTGGATTAAAAACCTAATTGTGAAAAGCAAAGCATAGCATTTTTTAGAATTTATGGTTTCCTTACACTCTGGCTACACCTTTGTAAATAAGCACTCTGTTTTTGTTTTTTTGTTTTGTTTTTTTCTGGGATGGAGTTTCACTCTTGTTGCCCAGGCTGGAGTACAATGGCGTGATTTCTGCTCACTGCAACCTCTGCCTCAATGGGTTCAGGCGATTCTCCTGCCTCAGCCTCCCGAGTAGCTGGGATTACAGCCGTGCGCCACCATGCCCAGCTAATTTTTGCATTTTTAGTGGAGACAGAGTTTCACCATGATGGTCAGGCTGGTCTCAAACTCCTGACCTCGGGTGATCCAACTGCCCTGGCCTCCCTAAGTGCTGGGATTGCAGGCATGAGCCACCACGCCTGGCCAGCACTCTGTTAAAGTTTCCTCAAATTACTCAATTTGAGTGGATCATCTCTTTCTTGTAGGACTCTGATACAGAAGTAAATGTAGAAGAATTTCTTAAGGCACAAAAAGCAAAAAACCATAAAATTGAAATATGGCAAAAAACATTATGGAAATAGAAGATTACAAACCTAAATACTTTGACTCAGCCATAGTAAAAACAGATAAGACCATAAACTACATATTTTGAGAAACTTTGAGTGGAGATAATATGGACACACATTATGGGTTTTTTTTGTGTTTTGTGTTTTGTTTTTGTTTTTGAGATGGAATTTCACTCTTGTTGCTCAGGCTGGAGTGCATTGGTGTGATCTTGGCTCACTGCAACCTCCACCTCCTGAGTTCAAGCAATTCTGCCTCAGCGTCCCAAGTAGCTGGGACTACAGGCATGGACCACCACTCCCAGCTAATTTTTTTATTTTTATTTTTAGTAGAGACGGGGTTTCTCCATGTTGGCCAGGTTGGTCTTGAACTCCTGACCTCAGGTGATCCACCCACCTTGGCCTCCCAAAGTGCTGGGATTACAGGTGTGAGCCACCACGCCCAGCCTGGACATAGATTATCTTAATAACCTTCAAAACTTAAAGTTTTATTAAATATTTTTTTAGGACCGGACGTCATGGTGAAACCCCATCTCTACTAAAAATACAAAATTAGCTGGGCATGGTGGCGCATGCCTGTAATCCCAGCTACTCGGGAGGCTGAGGGAGGAGAACCACTTTGAACCCGGGAGGCAGAGGTTGCTGTGAACCGAGATTGTGCCATGGGCAACAAGAGCAAAACTCTGTCTCAAAAAAAAAAAAAAAAAAAAAAAAAAAATATATATATATATATATATATATATATATATATATATATTCTAATTGATACATAATATATGTAGATATTTTCAAGGTATATGTGATAATTTAATACAATCATGTAATTTGTAAAGATCAAATCAGTGAAGCTGTGATAGCCATAAACATAAATATTTGCCTTTTCCTTATGCTAGAAACATTCAAATTATTCTCTTCTAGTTATTTTGAAATATACAATAGATTATTGTAAACTATAGTCACCCTACTGATCTATCAAACACTAGGCCTTATTTCGTCTATCAAACTGTTTATTTGTACCTATTAATCAACCTCTCCTCATGATCCCTTTACCCCTACCCTTCCTGACCTCTGGTAACCACCAATCTACTCTCTATCTTCATTTACTTTTTAGCTCCCACATATGAGTGAGAACATATGATATTTATCTTTTTGTGCTTGGCTTATTTCACTCAACAAATGACCTCTAGTTCCATCCATGTTGCTACAAATGACAGGATTTTATTCTTTCTTATGGCTGAATAATATTCCATTGTGTATATATATGATATTTTCTTTATCCATTCATCTGTTGATAGATACTTAAGCTGATCCCATATTTTGGCTTTTGTGAACAGTGCTGCAATAAACATGGAGTGTAGATATCTCTTTGATATAGTGATTTTCTTTATTTTGGATATATACCAGTAGTGGAATTCCTGAACCATATACTAGTTCTATTTTTACTTTCTTTGTGGTGACTCCAATACAGTTTTCATAGTGGCTATACTAATTTACATTTCCATCAACGATATCGCAGAACCACTTTCTTCACATCCTCGCCAGCATCCGTGATTCCTGGTCTTTTTAATGAAAACCATTTTAACTGGCATAAAATGATATCTCATTGTGGTTTGATTTGCATTTCTCAGATGATTAGTGATGGTGAGCATTTTTTAATATACCTCTTGGCCATTTTATGTCTTCTTTTGTGAAATGTCTATTCAGAACTTTTGCAAATCAGATTTTTTTTCCTTTTAAGTTGTTTGAGCTCCTTACATATTCTGGTTAATTCGTTGTCAGATGGGTAGTTTGCAAATATTTTCTCACATTCTGTGTGGGCTGTCTCTTCACTTTGTTGATTGCTTCCTTTGCTGCGCAGAAGCTTTTTAGCTTGATGTAATCCCATTTGTCTATTTTTGCTTTTGTTGCCTGTACTTTTGAGGTCTTACACAAAAAAACTTTGGCCAGACCAATGTACTGAAGTGTTTCCCCAATGTTTTCTTCTAGTAGTTACATAGCTTCTGGTCTTAGATTTAAGTATGTAAGCCATTTTGATTTGATTTTTGCATATGGTGAGAGATAGGTGTCTAGTTTCATTCCTCTGCATATGGTTATCCAGTTTTCTCAGCACCATTTATTAAAGAGACTGTCTTTTCCCCATTGTATGTTCTTGGTGCTATTGTCAAAAATGAGATGGCTGTAAATGAGTGGATTTATATCTGGGTTTTGTATTCTATTCCATTGGTCTATGTGTCTGTTTTTATGCCAGTATCATGTTGATTTGGTTACTATAACTTTGGGGTATAATTTGGAGTCAGGAAGGATGATGCCTCCAGCTTTGGTCTTTATGCTCAGGATTGCTTTGGCTATTCAGGGTCTTCTGTGGTTCCATATAAATTATAGGATTGGATTTTTTTTTCCTTTCTGTGAAGAATGTCATTGGTATTTTGATAGAGATTGAATTGAATCTGTAAATTGCTTTGGGTAGTATTGTCATTTTTAACAATACTGATTCTTCCAATCAATGAACATAGAATGTCTTTCCATTTTTTGCGTCCTCTTCAATTTTTTTCATCAGTGTTTTCTAGTTTTCCTTATATAGATCTTTCACTTCTTTGGTTAAATTGATTCCTAGCTATTTTATATTATTTGCAGCTATTCTAAGTGGGATTGCTTTCTTGATTTTTTTTTTCAGATTGTTCACTGTTGGCATATATAAATGCTACTGATTTTTGTATGTTGATATTGAATCTTGAAACTTTACCGAATGTATTAGTTCTAACAAATTTTTTAGTGGAGTCTTTAGATTTTTCTAAGTGTAAAATAATATCGCCTGTGAACAAGGCTAATTTGACTGCTTCCTTGCCAATTTGGACACCCTTTACTTCTTCCTCTTGCCTAATTATGTGGGCAGGACTTCCAGCATTATGTTGAATAAGAGTGGTGAGAGTGGACATCCTTGTTTTGTTCCAGATCTTAGAGGAAATGCTTTCAAATTTTCCCTGTTCAGTATAATGTTAGCTGTAGATATCATATATGACCTTTATTATTTTGAGGTATGTTCCTTTGTTGAGGGTTGATATCATAAACGGATGTTGGGTTTTGTTTGTTTTTTCTTTTTTTTGATACAGGGTTGGTCTCACTCTGTCACCCAGGCCAGAGAGTGCAGTGGCAGAATCATGGCTTACCTGAGACCTCCCAGGCTCAGGTGATTCTCCCATCTCACCTTCCTAAGTAGCTGGGACCACAGGCATGTGCCAACACACCAGCTAATTTGGGATGTTGAATTTTATTGAATGTTTTTCAACATCTATAGAAATGATGATATAACTTTTGTTATTGGTTCTATTAATGTGATGTATCATGTTTATTGATTTTCATATGTTGAATGAACCATCATTGCATCCCTGGGATGAATCGCACTTGATCATAGTAAATAATCTTCCTAATGTGTTGATGAATTCATTTTGCTAGTATTTCGTTGAGGATTTCTGCATCTATGTTCATCAGAGATATTAGCCTGTAGTTTTCTTTTTTTGCTGTGTCCTGGTTTTGGTATCAGGGTAACACTGGCCTCGTAGAATGAGTTTGGGAGAATTCCCTCTTCAGTTTTTTTGAGGAGTTTGAGTATAATTGGCATTAATTCTTTTTTAAATGTTTGGTAGAATTTAGAAGTCAAGCCACTAGGCCTGGACTTTTCTTGGATGGGAGACTTTTTATTACAGATTTGATGTCATTTCTCATTACTGGTTTGTTGAAGTGTTCTATTTCTTCATAGTTTAATCTTGGTAGGTTACATGTGTCCAGAAATTCATCCATTTCCTCTAGGTTTTCCAATTTGTTGATGTATTGTTGTTCTTAATAGTCTCTAATGATTCTTTGTATTTATGTGGTCTCAGTTGTTATATCTCCTTATTTGATTCTGATTTTACTTATTTGGGTCTTCTTTTTTTTTCTTAGTCTAGACAAATGTTTGTTGATTTATCTTTTCAAAACAACTTTTTCCATTATTGTTTTCTGTATTCTTTTTTAGTCTCAATTTCATTTATTTCTGCTCTGATATTTCTTATTTCTTTTCTTCTACTAATTTTAATTTGGTTTGTTCTTCCTTTTCTATTTCTTTGAGGTACATCATTAGTTTATTTGAAATCTTCCTACTTTTTATATAGGCCTGTATTGGTACAAACTTCCCTCTTAATACTGCTTTTGCTGTATCCCATAGATTGTGGTATGTTGTATTTCCATTTTCATTTGTTTCAAGAAACTTTTTAATTTCCTTAATTTCTTCATTGACACAATGGTCATTCATGAGCATGTTGTTTAATTTCCATGTGTATGTGTAATTTCCAAGGTTCCTCTTGATATTGATTTCCTGTTTTATTCCATTGTTGTCAGAAAACATACTTGATGTTAGTGCCAATTTTTTTGAATTTGTTGAGACCAGTTTTGTGTCCTAAGATATTGTCTATTCTGTGGGATGTCCCAAGTGCTAATGAAAAGAATGTGTATTGTGCAGCGATTAGGTGAAGTGTTCTGTAAATGTCAATTAGGCCTATTTGGACTAGTGTGTAATTTAACTCCAGTGTTTCTTTGTTGATTTTTTGACTGGATGATCTATTGATTATTGAGAGTGTGGTGTTGAAATTCCCTACTATTATTGTATTTCAGTCTGTTGCCAGACAAATTAGAACGCCTTTATTGTATTTCAGTCTGCTGCTAGATGAATTAGAGTGCCTTTATATGTTATTTGCGCCTTTTCTCTTGCCACTTTTAGAATCCTCTCTTTGTCTTTGACCTTTGTTTGATTATTACATGCCTTAAAGTAGCCTTATTTGGGTTGAATCTGCTTGGTATTCTCTGACCTTCCTGTATCTGGATATTTAGCTCTTAAACTGGAGAGTATTCTGTTATTATTTCTTTCAATAAGATTTCTACCTCTTGCTCTAGATCAGCTCCCTCTTGGATATCAATAATTCTTGGATCTGGTACTTTGAGGTAATTTTTTGTATCTTTTAGGTGATCTTCATTGCTTTTTATTCTTTTCTCTTTTTTTGAGTACTTTCTTCTTTTCTTTTCCTTCCTTCCCTCCTTCCTTCCTTCCTTCCGTCCTTCCTTCCTCCCTTCCTTCCTTCCTTCCTCTCTCTCTCTCTTTCTTTATTTCTCTCTCTCTTTTTTTTTTCAAGGTCTCATTCTACCACCAAGTACGGAATGCCAGCATGATCTTGGCTCAGCTTAACTGCAGCCTCAACCTCCTGGGCTCAAGTGATTCTCCCACCTCAGCCTTCCAAGTGGCTGGGGCCACAAGCACACATCACCACGCCTGGCTAATTTTTTTATTTTTTGTAGAGATGAGGTCTTGCTATGTTGCCTAGGCTGGTCTTGAACTCCTGGCCTCAAGCAATCCTCCTGCCTCCACCTCCCAAAAGTGCTGGGATTACAAGTGTGAGCCACTGTGCCTGGCCTTCTTTGAGTATTTTCAAATGGCCTGTCTTTGAGCTCACTTATTCTTTCCTCTGCTTGATCTGTTCTACTGTTGAGAGCCTCTAGTGAATTTTTCTGTTCAGTAAATGTATTTCTCAGTTCCAAAATTTCTTTTTTTGAGACGAAATCTCTCTCTGTCGCCCAAGCTGGAGTGCAGTGGTGTAACCTCAGCTCACTACAACCTCTGCCTCTTGGGTTTAAGCAGTTATCTGCCTCAGCCTCCCAAGTAGCTGGGATTACAGGCACCCACCACCACGCCCGGCTAATTTTTGTATTTTTAGTAGAGATGGGATTTCACCATCTTGACCAGGCTGATCTTGAATTCCTCACCTCATGATCCACCTGTCTCGGCCTCCCAAAGTGCTGGGATTACAGACATGAACCACCGTGCCCAGCCTCTCAGTTCCAACATTTCTGTTTGATTTTTTAAATTATCCAATCTCTGTTAAATTTTTCTGATAATTTTCTGAATTGCTTTTTTGTGTTATTTTTGAGATCACTGTTTTTTTGTGTGTGTTATTTTGAGATCACTGCCTTAAAATGGCAGTTTTAAGGAAGCGGTGACTCACGCCTATAATCCCAGCACTTTGGGAGGCCGAGACGGGCAGATCATTTAAGGCCAGGAGTTCGAGACCAGCCTGGCCAATTCAATGAAACCCTGTCTCTACTAAAAATACAAAAATTAGCTAGATATGGTGGTGCATGCCTGTAATCCCAGCTACTTGGGAAACTGAGGCACAAGAATTGCTTGAACCCAGGAGGCAGAGGTTGCAGTGAGCCAGGATAGCACCACTGCACTCCAGCCTGGGTGATAAAGCAAGACTGTCTCAAAAAAACAAAACAAAACAGACCTGTCATTTTAAATTCTTGGTCAGAGAGTTCACATATTACCATCTTGTTGGGGTCATCCACTGATTCCTTGCTTTGTCTGTTTGGGGACATCATGGATCCCTGATTGCTGTTATTTCTTATGGATGTACATATGTACATTGAAAGATTAGTTATTTCTTCCAGTCTTCGTCTGGCTTGTTTGGGTTTCTACTGGATGTGTTTGCTTACAGATTCTTTGTAATTTACTTGTTGATTCTTTCTTTTTTTTTTTTTTTTCTCCACTCAGTCATTACATCCTTTGCAGCACTATATAGAACCTTAAGCCTAGGTTTGCCTTGGTTCTAGTAAATAGTCAAGTACGCATTCTGGATGGGGTACATCCCAAAGGGGATATCTTGGTAGTGTGAGAAGGCTAGGTAGGAGTTCATGTCCAGGTGACCTGTGGAACGAACCTCCTACAGCATGGTGCTGCTGAATAGGCACTCTGATGTGGTGTCTCCTTTGGCCAAGTTACAAAGCAGAATTTCAGGGCTGGGAATGGTAGTTTTGCCTCCTCTTTTTGGCTGTTGTCAGGGATATTTCTTCCTATAGGCACTCCCAGTACTTCCCATGGGTTGAGGCAGGGACAGGTCTCCTGCCAGGGAATCCAAGTTGGCAGGGAAGCCAGCTGTCCACCTTGATCTCACTTTCCCATTCTAGAAACTGAATCACAATAAAAAATTGTATGCTTGGTGCCAGGCAGATTGGAGAAAGGGGCATCTTGGATATGGATATCTAATTCTCTTATTGTCTGCTTAGAATTTTTTCACCTTTGCGGTCTTAGGAACTATTTCCTCCTCATGTTTGAGTTCTGGGATATTGCTGGTAATAATCGTGGCCCTGTATATTTGTTTTTGGCTTCTGTTGGTGGGAGGAGAGAAGACAGCTTGCTTTTGTGGTGTCAATTTTAGAACTTGAAATCTCCTGAATCAATATTTAATCAAATCTTATCAAGCATTTTTAACAGAATCTTAGAGCAGAATAACTTATTTTTTTTTTTTTTTTTTTTTTTTTTTTTTTTGAGACAGAGTCTCGCTGTGTTGCCCAGGCTGGAGTGCAATGGCGCCATCTCGGTTCACTGCAAGCTCCGCCTCCCGGGTTCATGCCGTTCTCCTGCCTCAGCCTCCCGAGTAGCTGGGACTACAGGCACCCGCCACTATGCCCGGCTAATTTTCTGTATTTTTAGTAGAGACGTGATTTCACTGTGTTAGCCAGGATGGTCCCGATCTCCAGACCTCGTGATCAGCCTGCCTCGGCCTCCCAAAGTGCTGGGATTACAGGCGTGAGCCACCGCGCCCGGCTGAGCAGAATAACTTCTTAACTACCCCAGATGAAAAACACTTTAGAACATTTTAACTCAGATTACTTTAAAAATTTTTCTATTTTGAAATAATTTTAGACTTACAGAAAAGTTGCAATAATAGTAAAGAAAGTTCCTTTCTACCCTTCATCTATCTTCCCCTTATATCAACATTTTTCATAATCATAGTGCAATTACCAAAACTAAAAAGTTTACAGGCTCACACCTGTAATCCCAGCACTTTGGGAGGCTGAGGCGGATGGATCACAAGGTCAGGAGATCGAGACCATCCTGGCCAACATGGTGAAACCTCGTCTCTACTAAAAACGCAAAAATTAGCTGGGTGTGGTGGCGTGCGCCTGTAGTCCCAGCTACTCAGGAGGCTGAGGCAGGAGAATCACTTGAACCAGGGAGTCGGAGGTTGCAGTGAGCCAAGATAGCACCACTGCACTCTAGCCTGGTGACAGAGAAGACTGTCCCCACAAAAAAAAAAAAAAAGAAAGAAAATTGACTTGTGTATGTTGACTTTGTATTTAGCAATATTACTCAATGTTCTTATTTATTCTAATAATTTACTGTAGATGAGCTTGGATTTTCTACATATATATTATCTGTGACTAATGACCATTTTATTTCTTCCTTTTAATCCATATACCTTTTCTTTTTGCCTTATGCCACTGGCTAATTACTATCTCAGTACAATGTTAAATAGAAGTAATGATGAGCATAACCTTTTCTAGCTTCCAATCTCAAAAGTTTTCAGTGTTTCACCACTAGATATGATGTTTACTGCAGATTTTTATGGGTACCCTTTAGCAGATTAAAGAAATTCCCATCTATTCCTACTTTGTAAATTATGAAAAATGTTGCAACTTATCAAGTACTTCTACATCTATTGCAATATTTACATGGGATTTTCTTCTTTAATCTCTTAATGTGGCAAATTACATTAGTTTTCTATTGTTAAATCCAAACTTGCATTCCTGGGACAAATGCAACTGACTCATGAAGTAGTATGCTTTTTATATATTGATGGCTTTATAATATTTAGAATAATTCCCTAATGTTTAGAATTTTTACATTTTTGTTCTTGAGTAAATTTGGCCTGTAATTTTCTTTTTCATATTGTCCTTGTTGACATTGAGGTTAGTGCTAGCCTCATAAAACAAGTTGGAAAATGTTCCCTCTTTTTCTACTCTCTGGGAGAGTTTGTGAAATACTGAAACCATGCCAGTTTGACAGGATTTAATATAAGAAGTTGCTTAGACAAGTACTGGAGAACTAAAAAGGTAAAGATGGAACTGCAGCAACACAGAGATAGTAAACATAGGAAGTAGCTACCAACCCTAAGGCTAAAGGGACAAAGGGAAAATACTGGGTCATTAGAAACTGCAAGCTTGAAGGAGGGACTTACAGAGCTGGGACCCAGACCTCTGAGGAGTGGTGCTACCCAGCTGGTGCTGGTACCACAGGAGTCACTCAGAAGTCTCAGGAAGGTTGCAATCCACGCAAGGACTATTTGATGTCTAGTTTACTCTTACAGAAAGCGTACCCTTCCTTAAGACATTTCACTTCTACCCCCAGGAAAATTGTCATAATGTACTGAATTTGTTAGAGCAAGACACTAGTACCATATGTAAACATCCATGTTCACAGTGAGAATGGTACTCTTTACCTGTCATGGTAGGCCACTGGCTCTCCCTTTTATGTTACCTTTTTTTTTTTTTTTTTTTTTTGAGATGGAGTTTCACTCTTGTTGCCCAGGCTGGAGTGCAATGGTGCAATCTCGGCTCACTGCAACCTCTGCCTCCCGGGTTCAAGCAATTCTCCTGCCTCAGCCTCCCCAGTAGCTGGGATTACAGGCGCCCGCTACCACATCCAGCTAATTTTTGTATTTTTAGTAGAGACAGGGTTTTGCCATGTTAGGCCAGGCTGGTCTCCAACTCCTGACCTAAAGTGATCCGCCCCTTCGGCCTCCCAAAGTGCTGGGATTACAGGTGTGAGCCACCGCACCCGGCCCCCTTTTATGTTTTCCATGAAATTTGCTGAATCCTCTCAGTCCCTTATGGCTTTTTTCTAATTTTCTTTGAACTTTTTTGTTTCTTTCTGTAATTTTAAAGTGATTTCAAGAGTAACATGTGATAAGTACATGCAATCAATAAACCATCCTTAATCAGGAATTATATATAAAATTAGTTTGTTATAAATGTATTATTTGTATTTGTATTAAATTATTTCTTATAAAATAAAATAGTTGTATTAAGATTTATTTGTCATTTTGACATCTCTTACATCTTTTAATTTCAACATTTGTTTTGTAGATTCAAAGGAAAAAACATGAAAATTAAAATCAAGTTACAATTTTGTATTGGCATAAAACATATCAGCAAATAAGATGTCTGAAAAGGAGGGTATGTCAGAAGTGCTAGAGGATACTATTAGTCAATTTAGGAAAGAATCTAGATCACAGTCAATGAAGGAGCCTGGCTTTATTAAAGAAACATCAAATTTGATAAACGAAGCTTCTGATTACCTGGAAGGGAAATCTTCTAACCAGATTTATGAAACACATCCTAGACAGAATACATTAGAGTCAACATCTTCCTCTGGAAGGAAGTCTAAGAGAAATGAAGAACAAAAGAAAAATCTTCAATTTTCTGAAACAAGCACTAGAACAGGAACTTCACAGAGTTTATCATCACTAACTGGGAGGACTGCAGAATATCAGGCTTTGGTTAACTTCCTATCTCATGAAACAGTAGGAGAAGTTAGTCCACAAGTCTCTGAAGAAAATCAGAAACAACTTGGCCTAGGGGCAGATAACTTTACAGTTAACCTTGAGGCCAAGGGTTTACAGGAATTTCCTAAGGACATTTTAAAAATCAAATATGTAAAATATCTATATTTAGACAAGAATCAAATCAAAACATTTCAAGGGGCAGACTCAGGTGATCTGTTAGGACTTGAAATTCTATCCCTGCAAGAAAATGGATTATCATCACTTCCATCTGAAATTCAGTTACTTCATAATTTAAGGATATTAAATGTCAGTCATAACCACATATCACATATACCTAAAGAAATATCTCAGCTTGGGAATATCAGACAACTCTTTTTTTATAACAATTACATTGAAAATTTTCCTTCTGACTTAGAATGTCTTGGAAACTTGGAAATTTTAAGTTTGGGTAAAAATAAGTTAAGACATATACCAGATACTCTGCCTAGTTTAAAAACCTTGAGGGTTCTCAATTTGGAATATAATCAGTTAACAACATTTCCTAAAGCTCTCTGCTTCCTTCCAAAGTTAATTTCACTAGACCTTACTGGAAACCTAATAAGCAGTTTGCCAAAAGAAATTAGAGAGCTTAAAAATTTAGAAACACTTTTAATGGATCACAATAAGCTTACCTTTCTGGCTGTAGAAATTTTTCAGTTACTCAAAATAAAAGAACTCCAACTGGCCGACAATAAATTGGAAGTTATTTCACACAAAATTGAGAATTTCAGGGAACTTAGGATTCTTATACTTGATAAAAATTTATTGAAAAATATACCAGAGAAAATATCTTGCTGTGCAATGTTGGAATGCCTTAGTCTTAGTGATAATAAATTAACAGAACTCCCTAAGTACATCCATAAGCTTAACAATTTAAGAAAACTCCATGTAAACAGAAATAATATGGTAAAAATAACTGACTGTATCTCACATCTTAATAACATATGCAGTCTAGAATTTTCAGGAAACATAATCACAGATGTTCCCATTGAAATAAAAAACTGCCAAAAAATAATTAAAATTGAATTGAGTTATAACAAAATAATGTATTTTCCATTGGGACTGTGTGCTTTAGATTCTCTTTATTATTTGAGTGTTAATGGAAATTATATTTCAGAAATACCTGTGGATATATCTTTCAGTAAACAACTGCTTCATTTAGAATTGAGTGAAAACAAACTCCTCATATTTTCTGAGCACTTTTGTTCTCTTATTAATCTTAAATACCTGGATCTTGGTAAAAACCAAATAAAGAAAATTCCAGCATCAATTTCTAATATGATATCACTCCACGTACTTATTTTATGCTGTAATAAATTTGAAACTTTCCCTAGAGAATTGTGTACTTTAGAAAATTTGCAAGTACTTGATCTTTCGGAAAACCAATTACAGAAAATCTCTTCAGACATCTGTAATTTAAAAGGAATCCAGAAATTAAACTTCTCAAGCAATCAATTTATACATTTTCCTATTGAACTGTGCCAACTTCAATCACTGGAACAGCTGAATATAAGTCAGATAAAAGGGAGAAAGGTAAGAGACTGGTATTGTGGGCTTTGTGGGGAAGGAGAGACTGGAGAGGATCAGAATCCAAGCTGTGGTGTATCTGTGGGTACCGTATGTGTGTTTTAAGTTGAGCTGAAATATTTTGTTTTTTAAATGAAAGCCCTCCCCGTCCCCGCCAAACATGGCTTATAAATACAATTCACAACACAAAAGCTGTACAGGAAAATACTTCATTAAAATGAAATATGAAGCAATGAAAGCTGACAATTCTATAGATTCCTTTTTATTTTGGTGTAATTGTAAAAGGAGTTTTAAAGTTATGAATGTCATATAAACACATTATTGAAAGTTTGGAAAGTGATAAAAGTAAGACAAAAGTCATTCCACAAGCATATCATTGTATTATAACTACGGGCATACGTTGACACAACTTTTAGTCTTTTTTCCCGTTATGCATATGGTTTTATAAGGAATTATAAAAGACTACACACTCAATTTTAAATTCTTCTTTTTTTAACCAATAAGCATTTCTCTTTGATATAACCATCTTCCCAATAAATTGTTATAACCAGTACATGATTTATAGATCTAAACCTCTTGTTATGCATTTAGGAATGTTATAATTTTTCTTCATAATAATGCTGTGATGAATTTTTCCATAAATATAGCCTTTTTCATATTTTAGACTATTTCCTTAGGAAATTTTTCCTGAAGAATTGCTAGATCAATAAGAATTAACATTTTTAGAGCTTAGCATTTTATCTTACTGAAACTCTAGGAGTAAGTTTTATGGAAATAATTTTTTAATAACTAAAACATTACTGATTTATATGAAGATCTTAGTAAACAAATGAAAAGAACACAGCTATTATCTAAGGCAGGGCTTCCCAAAGTCTACTCCTAAAAGCCCTAGTCCCATGAGCATCTGCTCAAAAAAAAAGGGAGGAGGGGAGCAGTGTCTGTGATCAAATAGCTTTAAGAAGCACTGGGTTCTTCTCTTAAAGAATAACAATGAATACTGATCTATTAAAAGCTTTGAAGAGTCTTGCACTAATTTTCCCAAAATATTCCCATATTTCCCAAACTTATTTGACCATTTTTAACATAACAGCTGTCATATACTACATTTCCAGAAAAACTGCTCCAGGGAATACTTGCTTAAGCAGATGGAATGAATAATGATACAGCTTGTATTTAAAAAGTTGATTTTGCACTAACAGACAATTTTTATATCTGCAATATAATAATCAGTTAATTCATTGACTGATTCATAACCATCTCATTCATTTTCTCCTCTTGTAAGATAACTGTTGGTATCTCCAATGTTATATCCTTAACTCTCTCTTTTTTATTAACTCCTTTCCCACCACACCTGCTGTCACTTACATGCACATTATCCCAAAGTCTACATGACTAGAGCTGATCTCACACCAGTGCTGTAGTCCCATAGTTCTCATTTTTTTTCCTGGAAATTATACATGTTCTATTCTTTTGTTGTCACACACTCAATATAACTTCAAAGTCAGCTCATTTTTCTTCCATCTCCTTTCAAAACTTCTCCATTTCTGTTTGTGATGCCAGTTTTTCTTTTAAACCTGCCAGGCTAAAACTCATGAAATCATTCTTGTTCCTTTTCCATCATCAGTTATACCTCATCTTACACCAAAATTGTATTATTTTTCCTCTGAAAAAGCTGTTGGGTTATCTCCCTCATTTTCCAGTGTCACTGTCTACAACCTGGTCCTTGGTTATCACTCACTTCATGCATAGATTTATGCCAGGAACCTCCTCCCTTTTAGCAAGCCTTATCAAAGTTGTCAGACTTCATTGCAGAGGACTGTTGTCCATGTATCATACTTGCCTGTCAGGAATCCAAATTGCGTATCTGTTGTCTACTCAAAGTGAATGGCTGCCCAAGGCAACAGTCCACATATTTGCAACATCATTGCAAAGGTCATCAAATGGAAAAAATGATTTACAAGAACTCCTGTCAAAAAGAATATCCCATGTAGTTGAAAATATCACTTGATAACCCCCTTGGGGTGGAAATGAAATGCCCAAATAATTAACTTATATAATAGCAGATGGTCACTTATCTGAAGAAAAGTCAGATTAATCACAGGGCTTTTATTTTATTAAAGGAAGGATGCCCAAAAGGAACCTTCCTTCTATATGAATTCCATCATCATACAGCTCTCAGACACCACCTCTAGTAAATGTTGAGAAGGTAATTAAAGAATATTTGTTTCAATGAATGCCAAATAAAACTGAACCCACCTATCTGTTTTGATCTGACTCCTACTTCATAGGCCAGGCTCTCAAGTCTTGCCATAGCCTGGTTCCATGCTCCTTATCCAAACAAATCTCCCTCTGCTTTGCATCACCTTTCTTTGCTGGTCAGCTTCTCACTGGCCATTGTTATTCATGATATTTATCTTGCCTTAAGTGTCCTGTAACTTTTTTCTAATTCTATTCATTCTTTGTTTTTGTTTTTGTTTTTGAGACAGAGTCTCACTCTGTCGCTCAGGCTGGAGGACAGTGGTGCGATCTCAGCTCACTGCAACCTCTGCCTCCCAGGTTCAAGTGATTCTCCTGCCTCAGGCTCCTGAGTAGCTGGGATTACAGGCACTCACCTCCACGTCCAGCTAATTTTTGTGTTTTCAGTAGAGACGGGGTTTCACCATGTTGGTCGGCTGGTCTTGAATTCCTGTGATCCACCCACCTTGGCCTCCCAAAGTGCTGGGATTACAGGTGTGAGCCACCGAGCCCAGCCGCCTATTCATTCTTAAGAGGCTATTCAAGTTCTACTTTTTACATGAAGCTTTACTTTAGTTCTCTGATTTGTAGTAATGTACCTTTTCTAAACTTTCATTCATCAGTTATTAATTGTATTATTTTGGCATTGGATTACCTATTGCTTCATTCCATTTCCTGATTTTTTCATAGGATATATTCTGTTCCCTAAAATAAAATTTAATCTCCGTGAAGTTGGAGACTATTTCTTATGCTTCCTTTATACCTGGAAGAACATATAGCACAACATGCAGAATGTACCTTGTTGTTTAGCTATTAGAGGTGCCTATACATTCAAAATTGTTTTGTTCATAGAACTTCCTTTATTTCAAAAGCCACTCATAATGGCCCTATTTTCTCTAAATATGCATATTTCTTCTTCATCTTAACAGAATATTTTAATTCCTGCAATTTTGCAACACTTTTTATAGTAGGAATTTTTATTTAAGGTCACATTGCCAAACTGTGACTCCATTATTAAACATTTGGTCAAAATGCATTTTGTGCTTGGAAACACATACAAAAAGTATAAAACATGTGTATCATGTCATTTAGAAAATCTAAAAAAACGCACACAAATGATGAATAAAAAGCAATGGGGCCTGGTGAGGTAGCTCATGCCCTTAATCCCAGCACTTTGGGAGGCCAAGGTGGGAGGATCGCCTGATGTCAGGAGTTCGAAACCAGCTTGGCCAACATGGCAAAACCCCATTCTACTAAAAATACAAAAATTAGCTGGGCGTGGTGCTGGGCACCTGTGATCCCAGGTACTCAAAAGGCTGAGGCAGGAGAATTGCTTGAACCCGGTAGGCAGAGGTTGCAGTGAGCTGAGATCATGCCATTGCCCTCCAGCCTGGGTGACAGACCGAGATCTCCGTCTCAAAAAAAAAAAAAAAAAAGCAATGTTGATAGGACTAGTAATAAGGAGATCAAATGTGGGATGGAGTAGTTGGAAAAGACTTCTGGGAGGGGGGCGGGAAAGAAGCCAAAACAGGGTCAGATTTAGGGAGAAGAGAATGGGATAAGGAGGTAATGAACACTGAGTGATGGGAATGTGAGCAAAGTGGGTTGCAAGCCACAGGGTTGAATTAGAAGCATTGGTCAGATTGGGGAGGTACTTGGATGTCGCACAATATCTTGTGGGTTTTAGTCAGAAGGGAGAGTCAGTCACAAAGAATTTGTGACATAATAAAAAATCTCCTTTTTAAGACAAAAACAAAAACAGACAAAACTCTTTCATTTGATTTTAGAAGAAGTTTTAGTCATGCAAATATGTATGTATTTATAAATGTATAATTGTGTAATCTTTGTTACAGCTAACAAGACTTCCAGGAGAGCTATCTAATATGACTCAACTTAAAGAACTTGATATCTCAAATAATGCAATCAGAGAGATTCCAAGAAATATAGGAGAATTGAGAAATTTGGTTAGTTTACATGCATACAATAATCAAATAAGTTATCTTCCACCATCTTTGCTATCTTTAAATGATCTGCAGCAACTAAACCTGAGTGGTGAGTGTCAAGCATAATCAGTAAGCATAATCAATAAGTAGAGTATTAATGTCTGAGTTGCAAATTTTGCTGACAAGATACAGAATGGCAAAGAGTCAACATAAGGTATTAAGTCACCATTAGAAGGAAATGACTGTCCTAGGTACAGAAAATGAAAGCAAAGTATAAGGTCCAGTTCCTGCCTTGAAAGAGTAGGAGAGCCTGAACATATTTTCATTTATTTTCTCTCTTCTCTGCCTATACCCAGTCATTTAGTATTTCTTCCCTTTCTGAACCCAACCTCACCTCTTCCTCTACACACACCTACACAACCTCAGGTCAGCATTTTTTCTGCGTTTCCTTCTCTGTTGGCTCCCCTGATACTTCTCCTATACCCTATAATACTCTAATACCTTACATGGAGTCATTTACAAGGTAAAGCATTACAATAACCAAAACAAAATAAAAATGACATTGTAGATAAGAAAATAAACCACTCACTCTAAAGATATCAGAAAAGATTTCCCAAAGTACAACAAATACTGCGTTGATTATATATATATATACACACATACACACATATATATGCACATATATGTACACATATATACATATATACACATATATACACATATATATTTATCTGTTTGTTTATTTATTTATTTATTTTGAGACAGGGTCTCACTCTGTTGCCCAAGCTGGAGCACAGTGGCAAGATCATGGCTCACTGCAGCCTTGACCTCTCTAGGCTCAGGTGATCCACCTGCCTCAGCCTCCCAAAGTGCTGGGATTATAGGGGTGAGCCACCATGCCCAGCCAGCAGTGTCTTTAAATGCCTAATCTTGGAAGTGACATAACATCACTTCTGCTCTATTCTATTGATCACACAGACCAACCTTGGTATAATGTGGGAGGGGACTACACAAGGGGGTAACAGGAGGTAGATATCATTGTGGGCTAACAGATAGCCCTAATTCTATTTGAGTAATTGAATTTGTAGTTAAAAGCTCTCATACAAAGAAAATTTCTAGCTCAGATAACTTCACTGGTGAATTCTATAAAGTATTTTATAGAAGAAACAATGCCAATTTCAAAAAGGATTCACTGGTGAATTCTTTCAAGTATTTCAAAGAAGAAATCATTAAGTTAGGCCGGGCATGGTGGCTCATGCCTGTAATTCCAGCACTTTGGGAGGCCGAGGGGGGCGGATTGCTTGAGGTCAGGAGTTTGATGCCAGCCTGGCCAATATGGTGAAACCCCGGCTCTACTTAAAAAAAAAAAAATTAGTCAGGTGTGGTGGGGCACACCTGTAATCAAAATCAAAACTACTCAGGAGGCTGAGGCAGGAGAATCGCTTAGACCCAGGAGGCGGGGGTTGCAATGAGCTGAGATTGTGCCACTGCACTCCAGCCTGGGCGACAGAGTGAGACTCTGTCTGAAAGAATGAAGGAAAGAAAAGAAAGAAGAAAGGAAGGAAGGAAGGAAGGAGAAACAATGCCAATTTAAAAAATTCTGTCATAAAATTGAGGATACAACATGTCTCAGTTCATTCTGAGGCCAGCATTATCCTAATACCATAATAAGACAAAGACATTACTTGGAAACTTACAGAATAACATCCTGCTTGAACATCGATGCAAAATTCCTTAATGAATTAAAGCAAATTAAATCCATCAATATAAAAAATGATATCATATTGTGACCAAGTGGGATTTACCCTGGGAATGCAAGGTTGAGTCAATATTCAAAAACTAATCCATGTAATTCACCATCTGAACAGGCTTATGAAAAGCCATGTGAACTTCTCACTGTAAGTATAAAAAGCAAAGCAAGCAGATGTGGTGGTTTATGCTTGTAATCCCAGCTACTTGGGAGACATAGGCAGGAGGATTGCTTGAGCCCAGGAGTTTGAGGCTGCAGTAAGTTATGATTGTGCCACTGCATTCCAGCCTGGGCAACAAAACAAGACCTCATCTCAAAAAAAAAAAAAAAAAAAGCAAATATCATATGAAAAAATACAATTTCCATTCAAGATTTTCAAAAACAAACAACAACAAAAAAACTCTCAGCAAGCTAGAAATAGAAGAGAATTTCCTCAACTTGAAAAAATACATCTGCAAAACTCCTATAGCTAATATCACACTCCATGGTAAACGATTTATTTTCCACTATGATCAGGATTAAAGTAAAGTTCTCCTTTCTCACCACTTCTTTTTGACGTTATAACTGGAATCCCAACTAGCACAACAACACAAGAAAAAGAAATAAAAAGTAAATAGATTGTGAAGGAAGAAGAAAAAATTATTTCTGATAACAGAGACACGTTGTCTAGGTCAAAAATCCCAAAGGATCTACAGAACAAGTAAGTTTAGCAAGATTGCCGTATACAGAGTTAATATACAAAAATCAATCATATGTCTACAGACTAGCAAGAAATGATTGGAAATTGATTTCTTTAAAAGTACAATTTAAAATGGTACCAAAACCATAAATAAATCTAACAAATTACATATAAGATCTATATGCTGAAAACTGTAACATAGATAAAACTAAATAAACCTAAATAAGTAGAGAGATATATAGTGTTTATAAATTGGAAGACAATATTGTTAATATGTCAGTTTTCCCAAAACTTATCTTTAAATTCAACTCAATTCCAACAAAATCCTAGCAGAGTTTTTTGTTTCAGAAAACAATGAGGTAATTCTAAAATGTATATAAAAAGTCAAAGGAACTAGAATAGCTGAAACAATTTTGAAGAAGAAAAACAAAGTTGGATGATTCACACAACCTGATTTCAAGACTTATGCAAAACTATAGTCATGAAGACAGTGATAGTATTGGCAAAACAACAGACATAAGGATCAATGGGACAGAATAGAGAGTCTAGAAATAGATCCACAATTATGGTTAATATTGAGTGTCAACTTGATTGGATTGCAGGATGCAAAGTATTGTTCCTGCATGTGTCTGTGAGGGTGTTCCCAAAGGAGATTAACATCTGAGTCAGTGGACTGGGAGAGGCAGACCCACCCTCAATCTGGGTGGGCACAATCTAATCAGCTGCCACCTTGGCTAGAATAAAGCAGGCAGAAGTACGTGGAAGGACTAGACTGGCTGTGTCTTCTGGCCTCCATCTATCTCCCATGCTGGATGCTTCCTGCCCTCAAACACTGGACTCCAAGTTCTTCAGCTTTTGCACTCTTGGACTTACACCACTGGTTTGCCAGGGGCTCTAGGGCCTTTGGGCCTTTGGCCACAGACTGAAGGCTGCACTATTGGCTTCCCTACTTTTGAGGTTTCGGGACTTGGACTTGCTTCCTTGTGCCTCAGCTTGCAGATGGCCCATTGCAGGACTTCACCTTGTGGTTATGTGAGTCAATACTCCTTAATAAACTCCCTTTTATATATATATATCTATCCTATTAGTCCTGTCCCTCTGGAGAACCCTGACTAATACACCCACTATATGGTAGTCCTGTCCCTCTAGAGAACCCTGACTGACCACTATGTGGTCAACTGATTTTTGCCATGGTAGTTCCCCCTTATTCACAGTTTCACTTCCATGGTTTTACTCATGATCAACAGTGGTCTGAAAATATTAACTGGGAAATTCCAGAAATAAACAATTCATAAATTTAAAATTGTGCACTTTTCTGAGCAGTGTGATGAAATCTTGCACTGTCCTACCTGGGTTGTGAATCCATTCACTGCATGTGCTCCCTGCCTGTCAGTCACTTAGTAGCAGTCTCAGTTATCAGATCCACTGTCACAGTATCACAGTGCTTGTGTTCATGTAACCCTTATTTTACTTATTAATGGCCCTAAAGCACAAGAGTAGTGATGCTGGCAATTTGGATACACCATAGAGAAGCCTTAAAGTGCTTCCTTTAAGTGAAAAGGTGAGAGTTCTCAACTTGGAAAGAAAAGAATCATATGATGAGGTTGCTAAGATCTACGCTAAGGACGAATATTCTATCGATGAAATTGTGAAGACAGAAAAAGAAATTTGTGCTAATTTTGCTGTTGCACCTCAAACTACAAAATTACAGCCACAGTGCATGATAAGTGCTCAGTTAAGAAGGAAAAGGCATTAAATTTGTGGGTGAAAGACATGAACAGATGTGATCTGATTGACAGCAATCATGTTTGATACTGTATTTGGTTTGTAGGCATCAGCTGGGGGGTCTTGGAAGGTATCTCCCATGGATAAGGAGGAACTACTGTAATCCAACAGAGAAAGAACATTATTTTCAACAAATATTGCTGGATCAACTGGATGTCCAAAAGCCAAAACAAAACAAAATAAAACAAAAACAAATAAATAACCACAATATAATTTTGATCCTACACACTATATAAAAATATTACCTCAAAATGAATCACAGACCTAAATGTAAAAGCTAAAACTACAAAACTTCTAGATAAGAACATAGAAAAATATTGTTTTGCAAAAAAAAAAAAGTGAAAAAATATTAAAAGGCTGGGTGTCATGGCTCATGCCTGTAGTCCCAGAACTTTGGGAGGCTGAGATGTGAGGATTGCTTGAGACTCAGGAGTTTGGGACCAGCCTGGGCAACATGGGGAAACCCCATCTCTACAAACAAAATACAAAAAAATGAGCTGGGCATGGTGGTGCACTCCTGTAGTCCCAGCTGCTTGAGAGGCTGAGGTGGGAGGATCACTTGAACCCATGAGGCTGAGGCTGCAATGAGCCAAGATCGTGCCACTGCACTCCAGCCTGGGTGACAAAGCCAGACCCTGTCTCAAAAAAAAAGGTGAAAAAAATCAAAACTTTGGCAAGGATTTCTTATATACAACACTGAAATTACAATCCACAAATAAACATAATTGATAAATTGGTTTTCATCAAAATTGGAAACTTCTCTGCTGGGCGTGGTGGCTCATGCCTGTAATCCCAGCACCTTGGAAAACCGAGGCAGGTGGATCTCCTGAGGTCAGGAGTTCGAGACCAGCCTAGCCAACATGGTGAAACCCTGTCTCTACTAAAAATACAAAAAATTAGCCAGGCGTGGTGGCAGGCGCCTGTAATCCCAGCTACTTGGGAGGCTGAGGCAGGAGAATCGCTTGAACCCAGGAAGCGGAGGTTACAGTGAGCCAAGATGCTGCCACTGCACTCCAGCTTGGCTGACAAGAGCAAGACTAAAGGCTTTTTAAAATTTTTTTATTTTTATTTTTTTTTTACAGCAGAGTCTTGCTGTGTCATCCAGCCTGGAGTGCAGTGGCACGATCTAGGCTCACTGCAGCTTCTGCCTCTGGGGTTTCCTGCCTCAGCCTCCTGAGTAGCTGGGATTACAGGCGCCTGCCACCATGCCCAGCTAATTTTTGTATACTTTTAGTAGAGATGGGGTTTCACTATGTTGCCCAGGCTTCTCTCAAATTCCTGACCTCAAGTTATCCACCCGCCTTGGCCTCCCAAAGTGCTGAGATTATAGGCATGAGCCACTGTGCCCAGCCCAAAAGACATTTTTTAAAAGAATGAAAAGCAAAGCCATGGATTGGAAGAAAATATTTGCTTAATACTTAAAAAAAAAAAAACTAAAAACAAAATTAAGAAGTCAAACAACTTAATAAAAATTGGTATAAATTTTGAACAGATAATTTACTAAGAAGCTATATGAATGAAAAATAAGCATAAGAGGCCGGGCGTGGTGGCTCACGCCTATAATCCCAGCACTTTGAGAGGCTGAGGCAGGTGGATCGCTTGAGGTCAGTAGTTCAAGATCAGCCTAGCCAACATAGTGAAACCCCATCTCTACTAAAAATACAAAAATTAGCTGGGCATGGTGGCTTGTGCCTATGGTCCCAGCTACTCGGGAGGCTGAGGCACAAGAATTGCATGAACCCTGGAGGCAGAGGCTGAGGTGAGCTGAAATCACACCACTGCACTACAGCCTGGGTGACAGAGCTAGACTCTGTCTCAAAATAAAAAAGAAAGAAAGAAAGAAGCATATGAAAATATTATGCTTATTAGTCATATTAGAGAAATGCAAATTAACTATACAATGAAATATTGCTATTAGAATAGTTAAAATTAGGCTGGGCGCGGTGGCTCACGCCTGTAATCCCAGCACTTTGGGAGGCCCAGGCGGGCAGATCACGAGGTCAGGAGTTTGAGACCAGCCTGACCAATATGGTGAAACCTCGTCTCTACTAAAAATACAAAAATCAGCTGGTGTGGTGGCACGCACCTATAGTCCCAGCTACTCAGGAGAGTGAGGCAGAAGAATTGCTTGAACCCGGGAGGTGGAGGTTGCAGTGAGCTGAGGTGACGCCACTGCACTCCAGCGTGGGCAACAGAGCGAGACTCCATCCAAAAAAAAAAAAAAAGAATAGTTAAAATTAAAATCTGATAATACCAAAAGCTATCAAAATACAAGTAACTGAAACTCTGATACACTGATGAAAGAAATACAAAATGGTACAACCCTTTAGAAAAGTTTGGTAGTTTCTTATATAGTTGTACATACACTTAACCATACAAACCATCAATCTCACTTCAACTACTCTTTTACATGAAATGAAAACTTATTCAACAAAAAACTGAGTACAAATGTATAGAGAAGCTTCCTTTGTAATTGCCAAAACTGGAAGCTCTTCAAATGTCATTTATGTATTAAATGGATAAATTATTTACATCTATATAATGGAATACTTCTCATTATTAAAAAGAAAAAAACTATTGATACACACAACACTGATATTGTTGTAATGCTAAGTGAAAGAAGTCAGACCCTAAAGACTATGTGCTATGATTTATAACATATATGTTATACATGTATGTGTGTGTATATATACATATATAAAATTCTAGGTTTATAATAAATATATTTTACACACACACACACACACACACACACACACTCCCAGAAGCATCGTATCCAGATCTTGGTTTCTAAATATGATTATTCACTAAAAGGAACCAGTTTCCTTTAACTATATTTATAAATAATATAACTATAAAATATATAAATAATATAAAGGCAAATTTTAGGCCTCTCTAAATGACTACAAATTCATTTTTACCACAGTTTTACTTCTTTTTTTTTTTTTTTGAGATGGAGTTCCGCTCTTGTCTCCCAGGCTGGAGTGCAATGGCATTATCTCGGCTCCCTGCAACCTCTGCCTCCCGGGTTCATGCAATTCTCCTGTCTCAGCCTCCTGAGTAGCTGGGATTACAGGTGCCCACCACCATGCCCAGCTAATTTTTGTATCTTTAGTAGAGATGGGGTTTTGCCATGTTGGCCAGGCTGGTCTTGAACCCCTGACCTCAGGTGATCCACCCACCTCGGCCTCCCAAAGTGCTGGGATTACAGGCGTGAACCACTGGTTTTACTTTTTATCTTAGGTTTACATTGGATTAGGATGGTATTGAAAAAATTACATTTAGGAAGGTAGAGTTTAATTCCCACTCCCCCTTGAGGGTAGCCTAGATTTAGTGACTTACTTCCAAAGAATAGAGTATGGAAAGGAAAAAAATTATAACATTATCTTGGAGAATGCTAGCAGAGACTGTGTTATCCAAGCGATAAAATTTAACATCATTAGTGATGTCATGCGGATATGAGGTATCTCTGATATAATGTGATAAGTGCACTTCACCTCTGTGGTATTCTTTCCAAAAACCCATAACCCCAGTCTAATAATGAGAACATATCAGACAAATTCAAGTTATGGTACATTCTACAAAATTCATAACCAGTACTTCTTAAAACTGTCAAGGTCATGAAAAACAAGGAAAGACTGAGAAACTATCACAAACCAGAGGCGACTAATGAGACATAAAAGTATGCAATGAGATTTCCTGAAACAGAAAAAGGACACTGATGGAAAAACTAATGAATCCAAAAAAATCTGAAGTGTATTTAGTAGTAACATACCAATACTGGTTTCTTAGATTAAACAAATGTAATATGATAATGTGATAACATTAGGAGAAACTAAAGCTAGATGAGGAATGCAGAAGAACTTGCTACAATCTCTGCAACATTTCTATGAATCAAAAATTATGCTAAATAAACAGTTTAGTTTAAAAATTACCATCACATCCACTCTATAAAGTTCTTTGCTGTATTAAAAGAGGATAGTCTCTGTCTCATTTTGCCACCCCTAGGAGAGAAAGGAACCACAGCTGTCTTTCTATAAACACTCTTTTTTGCTCTTAGCATGTGGACATCAGAAATAATTTATGACCTGCTGCATTGTGAGGGTCCTCTGGTACTTTGCCAGCAAGACATAACAGATGTTATTTGTCTCCATAGTTTTCTTTTATAGAAAGATGTAATTCAATTCTAATTTTTTTCTACTAGGAAATAATCTGACAGCTCTACCTAGTGCTATCTACAATATTTTTTCACTGAAGGAGATAAATTTTGATGACAACCCTTTGCTGAGACCTCCAGTGGAAATCTGTAAAGGAAAACAGTTGTATACTATTGCACGCTATCTACAGAGGGCAGATGAAAGAGATGGTAGGTGATGAGTGATTGACTATCTAACAAGTCATTTCTTTTTTATTTTATTTTATTTTAATATTTTTGGAGACAGGGTCTCACTCTGACACCCAGGCTGGACTGCAGTGGCATGATCACGACTCACTGCAGCCTCGGACTCCTGGGCTCAAGTGATCCTCCCACCTCAGCCTCCTGAGTAGCAGGGACTGCAGGCATGTGTCACCGCACCTGGCTAATTTTTTAATCTTTTAGTAGAGACAGGGTCTCACTGTGTTGCCCAGGCTAGTCTTGAACTCCCGAGCTCAAGCAATCCTCCTGTCTTGGTCTCTCAGTGTTGGGATTACGGGCGTGAGCCACCACACCAAGCCACAAGACACTATCTGATATGAATTAAAAGATGGTTTGCTTTAATTGGAGGCTTTCAATCTGGCAGAGATATGAAAATATTGATGATCTTTCTTTTCTTAAGTTTAGGAGTTTGTTTTGATAATTCAGATTACGTAATCCAGGTCCACACAAATTGAGGCACTGAAAATAGGCAAATCCAAGTGGAGGAGGGGTGGGCTGTTTCCTACCCTATTGACCTTAATGCCCTTCAATAGGTGTTTCATTGAGATTGTGGCCAGACTCAAAATCCACACATAAATCTGTCAGTTCCAATCTGTTCTACCAAATGTAGTTGTTCTAAAAGACATTTGGAGTTGCGTGTGGTGGCTCATGCCTGTAATCCTAACACTTTGGGAGGCCAAGGCAGGACAATCACTTGAGCTCAGAAGTTCGAGACCAGCCTGGGCAACATAGTGTGTGACCTTGTCTCTATTTTAAAGATAAATAAATAAATAAATAAATAAAATACATTCGGCCTTGAGGGAAAACCATGGAGCCATTCCACTGATGGCAGTCAGTCCCACTATGACCATCTGTCTGAAATATTTTGATAGTCTTTATCCCATCCGTCCTTGAGCTCTCTGTTGTGTGTCTGATTATTTCTGAGAACAGGCCCATTTTCTTTAAAAGGGACTAGATGAAGACTGGCTTCAAGTGTCTGGGAGGGAATCTTCACTGTCCAATTCTTTCCCTGGGGCTGGGTTCGCAACAGTTAGGCTTTTCCCTAGGACTCTGATTTGCCACTTTTCATCACTAGTCAGAATGAATCCAGATTTTGGTCCTCTAATTTAATGCAAGAGAACAATCAGTTATGATCCAGATTTGGGGAAATGGAATACCAAAAACTATCCCTTCAGATCATTCTATCATGTATCTTGTCTACATAATCAGGAGCTTGTACTAATGTAATTTCATAGTGAGACAGTCATGAAAAATTGCTTAGTCTTTAAAGTCACAATATACATCCATATACATGGCTATCATTTAGAGGCTTTTGCAAGACTTGGGCTTTATTGATAAAGGAACCTAAAATACAAAATTAAAAGCCACAGTAGCTGTCTTCTTTAACTTACTGTGCAAGTTGATTGTCTTAATTGTTACTATAAAAAGGGATTTTTGGCCAGGTGTGGTGGCTCACACCTGTAATCCCGGCACTTTGGGAGGCCAAGGTGGGTGAATCACGAGGTCACGAGTTCAAGAGCAGCCTGGCCAACATGGTGAAACCCCATCTCTACTAGAAATACAAAAAATTAGCTGGGCATGGTGGTGGGCACCTGTAATCCCAGTTACTCAGGAGGCTGAAGCAGGAGAATCGCTTGAACTCGGGAGGCAGAGGTTGCAGTGAGCCGAGATCACACCACTGCACTCCAGCCCGGGTGACAGTGCGAGACTCCGTCTAAAAAATGAAAGGATCTTTTATGGTAATTCTATTTCTATAGAATAAAGATTTTCGGGGTTTTCTAGGATCCATAAAGTATTTCTGTTAGATACAGTACTTTAGAGAAGGGCTTAGAATCTCAGCCATTTATCTCCTTTCCCTACACCCAAGGAGCCTTCATATTGCAGGCTTGGCATCCAGTGAGGGCAGAAAGAAATCAGTATGGGAGATGTATTTATCTGCAATTAACAAATGGAGCCTTTTTCTTAAACTTTTACTTAGAAGATTGGAATTTTATATATATATATATATCATAGCATGAAATATAGCCTGAGAGAGTATATATAAAACTTTTTAAAATAGAACATATTTGATCACGCGGGATGGTACATCTCGAGTTCTGAAAATTCTCACAGGCTGGGGGCAGTGGCTCATGCCTGTAGTTCCAGGACTTTGGGAGGCCAAGGCAGGAGGATTGCTTGAGCCCAGGAGTTCGAGACCAGCTTGGGCAATATAGTGAGACTATTGCTTCTCGGCCTTTTGGCTAAGATCAAGTATAGTGAGACCCTGTCTCTACAAAAAATTTTAAAAACTGAGGTGGGCAGATAACTTGAGGCCAGAAGTTTGAGACTGGCCTGGCCAACATGCCAAAAACCCATCTCTACTAAAAATACAAAAATTAGCTGGGCATGGTGGCACGTGCCTGTAGTTCCAGCTACTCGGGAGGCTGAGGCAGGAGAATTGCTAATCTGGAGGCACCTGTAGTTCCAGCTAATCAGGAGGCGGAGATTGTAGTGAGATGAGATCCCGCCACTGTACTCTAGCCTGGGTGACAGAGCCAGACTCTGTCTCAAAATAAGTAAATAAATAAAAATTAAAAATAATAAATTAGCCAGGCATGGCGGCACATGCTTGTGGTCCCAGCTACTTGCGGGGGTGAAGTGGGAGAGTCGCTTGAGCCTGGGAGGTCGAGGCTGTGGTGACCTGTGATTATGCTACTGCACTCCAGTCTGAGCAACAGAGTGAGACCCTGTCTAAAAGAAAGAAAAGAAAAAACTCACAGTACCTTTGTCAAGAAAAAATGGATCTTGTTCAAATTAGCTGGAAGTTTTAATTAAAAAAACTAAAATCACTAATTGCTCAGCCAACTTATTAAATAATTGACTTGAATATAAAATATGCACTTATACACCATATTTATAGTAGATGTGAACTTAGTTTCTCAAGTTGGCACATAAAGAAGCACGTACAATTTTTGCCCATATTCTCCACCAAACAAAACAAAACAAAACAAAACAAAACAAAACAAAACACACCCACGCACATAAAAAAGCCAGAATTGAAGGAAGCAGTCAAATGCATTTCAAATCCTGGAGAAATTAAAGGGCTTGGAAGTCACTTTAAAGTTGCTTATAAATAGGCCCAGTGTGGTGACTCATGCCTTTAATCCCAGCACTTTGGGAGGCCGAGGAGGGCGGATCACCTGAGGTCAGGAGTTCGAGACCAGCCTGACCAACATGGAGAAACCCCATCTCGATTAAAAGTACAAAAAATTAGCTGGGTGTGGTGGCGCATGCCTGTAATCCCAGCTACTCGGGAGGCTGAGGCAGGAGAATCACTTGAACCCGGGAGGCAGAGGTTGCGGTGAGACCAGATCACATGCCATTGCACTCCAGCCTGGGCAACAAGAGTGAAACTCTGTCTCAAAAAAAAAAAAAAGTTGCTTATAAATATTCTTTTCAACAGCCATTTTAAGTGTTGGATTTTTCAAATTTTAGAAAAAAATGGAACAAATGTCAAATGTTTCAAATTTCAGTTCATAATTTAGATCTGCATTGTCATTGTCATTTTTTTTTTTTTTTATGAGACGGAGTTTCACTCTTGTTGCCCAGGCTGGAGTACAATGGTGCAATCTTGGCTCACTGCAACCTCTGCCTCCTGGATTCAAGCGATTCTCCTACCTCAGCCTCCCGAGTAGCTGGGATTACAGGCATGTGCGACCACGCCCGGCTAATTTTTTGTATTTTTAGTAGAGACGGGGTTTCTTCATGTTGGTCAGGCTGATCTCGAACTCCCGACCTCAGGTGATCCACCCGCCTTGGCCTCCCAAAGTGCTGGGATTACAGGCATGAGCCACCGCGCATGGCTGTCATTGTCATTTTTTTTTTTTTTGAGACAGTCTTGCTCTGTTGCCCAGGCTGGAGTACAGTGGTGTAGTCTCAGCTCACTGCAACCTCCGCCTCCCCGGTTCAAGTGAGTCTCCTGCCTCAGCCTCCCGAGTAGCTGGGACTACAGGAACACACAACCATGCCTGGCTAATTTTTATATTGTTATTAGAGATGGGGTTTTGCATGTTGGCCAGGCTGGTCTTGAACTCCTGATCTCAGGTGATCCACCTGCCTCGGCCTCCCAAAGTGCTGGGATTACAGGCGTGAGCCACTGTGCCCGGCCAGCATTGTCATTTTCAGTTTTACTTAACATATATATTTCATAGAAGCACAGAAATAAGAAAACTAGATATAATATGAACTCAAAATAGATTATCTTTTTCAAAAGATATACATTTTATTTTATGTTCAAACGTAGAGAAAATTTTAGAGAAGATATTCAAGATAGTTGCCAACAACATCACTGAAACCAATTTTGAATTTTTATGTCAAAAACTAAACCTGGCAAACTCAGAAACTGATATGCCTACAAAGAGGTATGTATAAATGACAGCATTTAGTACAAATTTATTCTCATTCTGATGTATATCATGTTGATATTGCATGGTTTTGAAACATTCGTATTAACACAATCTCTACTTTGCTGTAGAAAGCTGATTTTAGTTTATTACATGTTTGTGATCCATGTTGGAAGGCCATATAACATAATAAAGAACAAAGGCTATGAGGACAGACTGACTTTTACTCACAACTGGCTTTGTGACCTTGGGCAAGTCCTTTAACTTCTTGATGACTTGGTTTCTTCACTGGTAAAATGAATATACTCATATAAGAGAATTGTCATGAGAATCAAGTGAGATCAAGCTATAAAGCATATAGTAGCTGGGTGCAGTGGCTCACACCTGTAATCCCAGCATTTAGGGAAGCTGAGGCGGGTGGATCACGAGGTTAGGAGATTGAGACCAGCCTGGCTAACACGGTGAAACCCCGCCTCTACTAAAAATACAAAAAATTAGCCCGGTGTGGTGGTGGGCACCTGTAGTCCCAGCTACTCGGGAGGCTGAGGCAGGAGAATGGCGTGAACCCGGGAGGCGGAGCTTGCAGTGAGTTGAGATCGTGCTACTGCACTCCAGCCTGGGAGACAGCAAGACTCTGTCTAAAAAAAAAAAAAAAAAAAAAGCATATAGTATAGTAGCAGTAATATACTGGTTTATTAGAAATAACCCACAATTATGATTTTGAGGTCTTGAGAACTGAATGTAAATTGAATTGCTGATTTTCTATAAGGGTACAAGGGATGGGCTGGAGCTAACATTCACTTTCTATGTCCCAAGCTCCATGCCAAATTTTTATAGAGATTCTCTTCACCAATTAATTTCATCCTCACTTCAGTCTGATAAAATTGGTTTGAAAACCTAGATATACAATATTACAGGAGTTTAAAGCAATGTTCTTAATTGACAATTCAGATAATTATCAGTAATTTAAATATATTAAACGTTAATAAATATTTAACTATTAATATTATTAATAATGTTTTTCAGCACTGTTTCATTAAGTGAGAGAGCCCACCAAGCACTTGTTATATGGAAAACACAAAGTAACAAGTTATCACTAACTGCTGCTGCTTTAAGAGATCAACTAATTCGAGCACTAACTATGATAGGAGCATATGAAATTATGGACAAAATAACAGCTTTAAATCTTTTTACGCGTGCAATTAAATTCTAACCAGTGGATCAATAATAAAAACTGAAAACTTTTGATGCACTTATAATTGAAACTGTGTTTGTGAACCATTTCACTTCACTTTATCATACAAGAGAATTGCATCTTTTTTCTTTCATTCTTAAGAGATGATGACAACTTATAACTATCACTCTAATGTTATAATAAAACATTACAGACACTGTTTTGTGTGTTTGTTCTGTTGTCTTATTATAGTGATGTTGCATTTGAAAATAATTCCTTTTTTTTTTTTTTTTTTTTTGAGATGGAGTTTTTGCTCTTGTTGCCCAGGCTGGAGTGCAGTGGTGTGATCTTGGCTCACTGCAACCTCTGCCTTCTGGGTTCAAGTGATGCTTCTGCCTCAGCCTCCTGAGTAGCTGGGACTACAGGCGCCCACCACCACGCCGGGATAATTTTTGTATTTTTAGTAGAGACGGGGTTTCACCATGTTGGGCAGGATGGTCTCCATCTCCTGACCTTGTGATCTGCCCGCCTGGGCCTCCCAAAGTGCTGGGATTACAGGTGTGAGCCACCATGCCTAGCCTGAAAATAATTCTATTAAAATTTTTCTGTTATATAATGCTTTTATACAACCCCCGATTTATAAGTAGCAACATTACTAGTGATTTTCACTGGAGTTAGAAAGCAGAACAGTTTCTTTTTAGATGCTAGTTTAAAAACAGAAATAAATATACCATTCCTACTTTTTCTCCATTAGGAATGGGATAGCTTTGTTAAACATAAACTAGGGCCAGGGCCAGTAATCCTTCAGTTGAGTGTCCAGACAGGATTGATAGAGTGGCCATCTGTTGTCTTGTCTGTCATGTGAGCCTCTCCCCTTCTTCTGCTATCAGAAAACCTTTCATAGGGGGAATGCATTGCACATATTTCAATGTGGAGCTGACCTTGTCGTGTAAGTCTCTTCCCCTACTCCAGCACTAACATCAATATCTTCTACTCATTTAACCATAATGATTGATTCTGACCCAGGAAAAGCCATTTTGAGAGGTGACAGCGTGCTGGCAGTCCTCACAGCCCTCGCTCGCTCTCGGCGCCTCCTCTGCCTGGGCTCCCAATTTGGCGGCACTTGAGGAGCCCTTCAGCCCACCGCTGCACTGTGGGAGCCCCTTTCTGGGCTGGCCAAGGCCGGAACCGGCTCCCTCAGCTTGCAGGCATGTGTGCAGGGAGAGGCGCGGGCGGGAACCCGGGCTGCACGCGGTGCTTGCGGGCCAGCGCGAGTTCCGGGTGCGCGTGGGCTCGGCGGCCCCGCACTCGGAGCGGCCGGCCAGCCCAGCCGGCCTGGACAGTGAGGGGCTTAGCACCTGGGCCAGCAGCTGCTGTGCTCAATTTCTCGCCGGGCCTTAGCTGCCTTCCCGCGGGGCAGGGCTCGGGACCTGCAGCCCACCATGCCCGAGCCTCCCCCACTTCCGTGGGCTCCTGTGCGGCCAGAGCCTCCCCGACGAGTGCCGCCCCCGGTTCCATGGCGCCCAGACCCATCGACCATCCAAGGGCTGAGGAGTGCGGGCACACGGTGCGGGATTGACAGGCAGCTCTACCTGCGGCCCCGGTGGGTGCGGGATCCACCGGGTGAAGTCAGCTGGGCTCCTGAGTCTGGTGGGGACTTGGAGAACCTTTATGTCTAGCTAGGGGATTGTAAATACACCAATCGGCACTCTGTATCTAGCTCAAGGTTTGTAAACACACCAATCAGCACCCTGTGTCTAGCTCAGGGTTGGTGAATACACCAATCGACACTCTGTATCTAGCTAATCTAGTGGGGACGTGGAGAACCTTTGTGTCTGGCTCAGGGATTGTAAAGCACCAATCAGCGCCCTGTCAAAATAGACCACTCGGGCTCTCTGTAAAATGGACCAATCAGCAGGACGTGGGTGGGGCCAGATAAGAGAATAAAAGCAGGCTGCCTGAGCCAGCAGTGGCAACCTGTTCCGGTCCCCTTCCACACTGCGGAAGCATTGTTCTTTCGCTCTTTGCAATAAATCTTGCTGCTGCTCTCTCTTTGGGTCCACACTGCCTTTATGAGCTGTAACACTCAACACGCAGGTCTGCAGCTTCACTCTTGAAGCCAGCAAGACCAGGAACCCACCGGGAGAAAGGAACAACTCCAGACGCGCCGCCTTAAGAGCTGTAACACTCACTGCGAAGGTCTGCAGCTTCACTCCTGAGCCAGCGAGACCACGATCCCACCAGAAGGAAGAAACTCCGAACACATCCGAACATCAGAAGGAACAAACTCCAGAGGCGCCATCTTAAGAGCTGTAACACTGACCGTGAGGGTCGGCTTCATACTTGAAGTCAGTGAGACGAAGAACCCACCAATTCCGGACACAATTTGACTTAAGCCAGGCCATTAACAGTTTCTTTTGGATCTTTTTGCAGAGCTACTATGGAAGATGCACTCTTTCTGCGGGTAGGTTATGAGTCTTTTAGTCTTGGTATATCATGCACAGTGTGTAGTAGTCTGCCGAGAGCTGGATGCCAAGAGAGAGACAGAACCTTGTTTATGTTGTCTGATCCTCAATCCCCATACTTCTGCACTTTTTACTTTTCACCCACTTAAGGAGTGTGACCTGGGTTTCCATAACTTTGAATGGAAAGAGACCTAATACAAGTGGTTAAGAATATTGTGGAGCCCGGGCAGGGTGGCTCATGCCTGTAATCCCAGCACTTTGGGAGGCTGAGACGGGCAGATCACGAGGTCAGGAGATCGAGACCATCCTGGCTAACACAGTGAAACCCTGTCTCTACTAAAAATACAAAAAAATAGCTGGGCATGGTGGCGGGCGCCTGTAGTTCCAGCTACTCGGGAGGCTGAGGCAGGAGAATGGCGTGAACTCAGGAGGCAGAGCTTGCAGTGAGCTAAGGTGGCACCACTGCACTCCATCCTGGGCAACAGAGCGAGACTCTGTCTCAAAAAAAAAAAAATATTGTGGACATAGTGCAGTTTTTGTTACCTTAAAAAATAATTTTCTATGTGAGACCATATTAAATAAATTTATTTTGCAGGTTAAAATTTAAAGTGTATATTTTGTTGCCATTTTGGAAGTGCAACATAACATTGGTTTAACAACTATACAGCCTGTGTCTCTAATCCTTCCCTATTTTAAAACTTCTTGCAGTAGGGATGAGAACCTGTGGGTTTATATTGGCTTAATGATGGTTGTTGTTAATGTTTTCCACTGGAGGCAAGGTACTTCCATAGAACATTAAAGTGTGAAGGACCTTGGAAATTGTCTAGTGAAGTCTATCTTCTCATTTAACAAATGAGCAAACTTAAGACCTAAAAAAATTTAAGTGATATGAACTGGTTTCTCTACTCTTCCTTCAGAAATGAAGTTATAAAGACTAGAAAATGTTCTAGGTGAAGCTTTGGTATGAAGTAAGAGAGAGAGACAGAGAGAAAAGAAGAAAGCTGGGTAACATCAGAACCACGAAAGCGTCAGTTCTTATCAACTTTTGCTAAATTGCTACAATTACACACTTTTTAACAAATATCCTAGCCCATAGACTCGCCCAAACCACACCGTACATTGCTACCAGACTTATCTTCTAAAAACACTGATCTAACCATATCACCCTCTGATAATTTTTTTTTTTTTTTTTTTGAGAAGGAGCTTTGCTCTTGTTACCCAGGCTGGAGTGCAATGGCATGATCTCGACTCACTACAACCTCCGCCTCCCGGGTTCAAGCAATTCTCCTGCCTCAGCCTCCAGAGTAACTGGGATTACAGGCACCTGCCACCATGCCCAGCTAATTTTTTGTATTTTTAGTAGAGTTGGGGTTTCACTGTGTTGGCCAGGCTGGTCTTGAACTCCTGACCTAAGGTGATCCACCCACCTTGGCCTCCCAAAGTGCTGGGATTACAGGCATGAGCCACCACGCCCAACCCAAAAATCTTTTTAAAAATATTGGAAAGTAGGCCAGGTGCGGTGGCTTACTCCTGTAATCCCAGCACTTTGGGAGGCTAAGGTGGATGGATCATCTGAGGTCAGGAGTTCGAGACCAGCCTGGCCAACATGGTGAAATCCTGTCTCTACTAAAAATACAAAAATTAGCCAGGCATGGTGGTGCATGCCTGTAGTCCCAGCTACTTGGGAGGCTGAGGCAGGAGGATCTCTGGAACCCAGGTGGCAGAGGTTGCAGTGAGCCAAGATTGTGCCACTGCATTCCAGACTGGGCGACAGAGTGAGATCTCCGTCTCAAAAAAACAAAAAAACAGAAAGAAAAAAGTGTCCAGCTGGCTTCATTGCAGAAATTGACAAACTGATCCTAAAGTGAAATAAACCTAAAGGGACCCAAAATAGTCAAAACAATCTTGAAAATGAATAAGAAAGTTGGAGAACTCATACTTCTCACTTTCTTTCTTTTTTTTTAATTTGAGACAAGGTCTCACTCTGCTGCCCAGGCGGGAGTGCAGTGGCACAATCACAGCTCACTGCAGCCTCAACCTCTGGGGCTCAGGCAATCTTCCCACCTCAGCCTCCCAAGTAGCTGGGACTACATGCCTACACCACCATGCCTAGCTAATGTTTTGGTATTTTTTAGAGATGGGGTTTCACCGTGTTGCCCAAGCTGGTCTCGAACTCCTGGGCTCAGGTGATCTGCCTGCCTTGGCCTCCCAAAGTGCTGGGATCTCACTTTCAAACTTAATACAAAACTGCAGTAATCAAGACAGTGTAGTTCTGGCATAAGGATAGACATATAGATCAACAGAATAGAACTGAGAGGCCAAAAATAAACCCTAACATATACAGTTAATCAATTTTTTTTTTTTTTTTTTTAGATGGAGTCTCGCTCTGTCACCCAGGCTGGAGTGCAGTGATGTGATCTCGGCTCACTGCAAGCTCCGCCTCCCAGGTTCACGCCATTCTCCTGCCTCAGCCTCCCGAGTAGCTGGGACTACAGGCACCTGCCACCACGCCTGGCTAATTTTTTTTTTTTTTTTTTTGTATTTTTAGTAGAGATAGTGTTTCACCATATTAGCCAGGATGGTCTCAATCTCCTGACCTTGTGATCTGCCCGCCTGGGCCTCCCAAAGTGCTGGGATTACAGGCATGAGCCACTGCACCCAGCCCAGTTAATCAATTTTTAACAAGGGTGTCAGATGATTCACTGGGGGAAAAACAGTATTTTCAACAAATGGTGCTGTAACAACTAGATCCACCAGCAAAATAATAAATTTGGAGCCCTACCTCACACCATATACAAAACTTAAAATGGATCAAAGTTCTAAATAGAAAAGCTAAAGTCATAAAACTTTTAGAAGAAAACATAGGTATAAATTTTGGGTTAGATGGTTCTTAGATATGACACAAATTACAAGCAATAAATTAAAAAATAGTGATAATTTACTCTGACCTACTGTAAAGAAAAGCAATAATTTCAAAGCTACTGCCAGATCTTTTGGGTCACTGAAAAGTATCCACCAGCAGTAGATGGTCCCATTGGTCCTGTTGTTTCAAATGCTCTAGCTAGCATAGTCTGAAATCCAGAGAATGAATAATAGGAAAACTGATTCTCTCAGCACAATCCTGTACAGTCCAATTCTGTTTCTTGTTTGTTTTTTGAGACGGAGTCTCACTCTGTCGCCCAGGCTGGAGTGCAGTGGCACAATCTCAGCTCACTGCAACCTCCACCTCTTGGGTTCAAGTGATTCTCCTGCCTCAGCTTCTCAAGTAGCTGGGACTACGGGCACATACCACCATGCCTGGCTAATTTTTTTTTTTGTAGTTTTAGTAGAGACGGGTTTCACCATTCTGGCCAGGCTGGTCTTGAACTCCTCTCCTCGTGATCCACATGCCTTGGCCTCCCAAAGTGCTGGGATTAAAGGCATAAACCACCATGCCCAACCCATTCTGTTAAGAGTAGGAAAATCAGTGTAGATTTATCTGCACTTAGGGAAATGTTTGTCTTCCCTTACCTGAATTTGCATTGTCCCAGCACTGAAAAATGTTTGTCCTTGGAGAGTGTGTGTGCGCTTGGTTCAGTAAGTTACCAGAAAACTATAAGAAGAATGAAGATGAACATTTTCTTTGCATACTGTTGTAGAGACTTGAGGGACCTAGACTTGAGGTGCCAAATGGGACCGTTTTCCTGAACCACCTCCTACGGAAAAAATCAGATTTATTATGTTTTGCATAATTGTGTCTTATGAATTGCTCTGCTGGTGAAAGGTAGAGTTGGGGTTTGGAGTGTTGTGGGGTGGGCTGTGGATGCCAGAGGGAGACCAATCCCTGTGGGTAGGCATTACAGTTTTCCTGCAAGGGAATGGGACTTTTTTTTTTTTTAATGGGGAGGGATTAAAGAAAGCCCATTCACTGAGGAGCAGCAGAGAGGTAAACTTCAGACAGGACAACTGCTCTGTGTCTATGAAGGGAACCTGAAACCGCCTTTGCAAAATTATGACTGAGACAATGAAAGAGATTTAACTTAACCAACTCCATCTTGCTTATTTTTTTATTTTTATTTTTATTGAGACAGAGTCTCACTGTGTTGCCCAGGCTGGAGTGCAGTGGTGCTATCTCGGCTCACTGCAACCTCTGCCTCCCAGGTTCAAGTGATTCTCCTGCCTCAGCCTCCTCAGTAGCTGGTATTACAGGCGCCCACCACCACGCCCAGCTAATTTTTGTATTTTTAGAAGAGATGGGGTTTCCCCATGTTGGCCAGGCTGGTTTCAAACTCCTGACCTCAAATGATCCACCCACCTCGGCCTCCCAAAATGTTGAGATTACAGGTGTGAGCCACCATGCCCAGCCAGACTCCATCTTGCTTCTAACCTCCAAGCTGTCTTTGTTCATTCCTGGGTGTAGGCTGAACGAACTTTGGGAGAAACTAACTTAGTTTGTAGTTTATAGTTTAAACAAAGACAGTAACAGCCCTTTCTCAAAACAGGCCTCCTTCTTGCCTGGGAACTATACTAACATTAGCCACAGGATTAAAAATTATGACTTAGGAGTCATGCAGCTGGAGGCTGTAAGATTCTGACCCTCCCTAAACTGCTCTTAAGATCAGTGTTTGAGATATTTTGCAGACCCTGCACTTGATGGATCAGCTGGCACCACCGACTAATAAACTGGCTTATCTGATGTTGTGGCCTCCACTCAGGAACTGACTGAAGGCAGGAAGACAGCTTCAACTCCCTGTGATTTCACCCCTGACCAATCACCACACCTGGCTCACTGGCTACCCCCCAACTCCCACCCACCAAGTTATCCTTAAAAACTCTGCTCTCCAAATGCTCAGGGAGACTGATTTGAGTAATAAAACTCCAGTCTCCCACACAGCTGGCTCTGCGTGAATTACTTTATTGCAACTCCCCTGCCTTGATGAATTGGCTCTGTCTAGGCAGCAGGCAAGGTGAACCCCTTGGGTGGTTACATTAGGACTTAAAATAATAAATTATTAAGAACCCTAGAGAGTCATTTTTTTAAATGGATTATATCTATCAAAACTTACAGTATTACAAATTAAAATAAATGAAAATGTTTATTGAAAATAATTATTTACATAAATAATGTCATTTCATGAATATAGCTATATTTTCTTTTTTTTTTTTTTCGAGACGGTGTCTTGCTCTGTCACTCAGGCTGGAGTGCAGTGGCACAATCTCGGCTCACTGCAACCTCCACCTTGCGAGTTCAAGCGATTCTCCTGCCTCAGCCTCCTGAGTAGCTGGGATTACAGGCACGCGCCACCATGCCTGGCTAATTTTTGTATTTTTAGTAGAGATGGTGTTTCACCATGTTGGTCAGGCTGGTCTCAAACTCCTGAACTTGTGATCTACCCACCAGGGCCTCCCAAAGTGGTGGGATTACAGGAGTAAGCCACCGCACCCGGCCTATAGCTATATTTTCAAAAATAAAATATTAGTGAGAAGAATGGCATAGTTTTAGATTTTTGTAAATCTCTTTTACACCTGGCTTAATAGAAGACTGTTGGGTTCTTTTTTCTTTTTTAATTTTTTATTTCCATAGGGTTTTAAGAAATGTGGTATTTGGTTACATGAGTAAGTTCTTTAGTGGTGATTTGTGAGATTTTGGTGCAACCATCGCCGAGTAGTATACACTGAACCCAATTTGTAATCTTTTATCCCTCACCCCCTTCCACCCTTTCCCTGAGTCCCCATAGTCCATTGTGTCATTCTTATGCCTTTGCATCCTCATAGCTTAGCTCTCACTTAGGAGTGAGAACATATGATGTTTTGTTTTCCATTCCTGAGTTACTTCACTTAGAATAATAGTCTTCAATCCCATCCAGGTTGCTGAAAATGCCATTCATTCATTCCTTTTTGTGACCACGTAGCATTCCATTCCATATATAAATATATAAATATATATTTATATATATCACAGTTTCTTTCTTTTTTTTTTTTTTTTTTTTGAGACAGAGTTTTGCTCTTGTTGCCCAGGCTGGAGTACAGTGACGCAATCTCGGCTCACTGCAACCTTTGCCTCCCAGGTTCAAGTGATTCTCCTGCCTCAGCCTCCCGAGTAGCTGGGATTAAAGGCGTCTGCCACCACGTCCGGCTAATATTTTGTATTTTTAGTAGAGACGAGGTTTCATCATGTTGGTGAGGCTGGTCTCGAACTCTTGACCTCAGGTGATCCTCCCGCCTCGGCCTCCCAAAGTGCAGGGATTACAGGCGTGAGCCACCGCGACTGGACGGAAGAAACGGTGAAACTTTTAAGGTGGTAGAATTATAGGATCTGATGACTGATTAGATGAAGCATGGAGAGGGCAACAGTGTGCACAGTGATGCCTTTTCTTCACAGGCATTATAGGAGGGACAGGTTGGTAGGAGGAGGCAACGGGTTTAGTTTTGGATTTACTGACCGGGGATGAGTGTTAGCTCTCTAGGTAGAGGTGTTCCGCAGGCAACTGGTGTTGCGGGACAAATCATAGACGGGAGAGACCGAGCAGAGTTCAGGAGAGCCTTTATTATTAAGGTGATCACCGGCTCAGTCGGACTAGGGTCCAGAAAGTCTGAGCCCCGAACAAAGGGATCAATCACCTTTTAAGCAGTTTGTGTTGGGAGTTACGTGTTGCATGAAGTGTACTTGCAGAAGCAAGAACAAAGGCAGTAAATTACTCTTACATTTGTTACACCATATGTCTTACGTCCTTGGGAATACATGCTTTTGTAACACTTGCTAATCAGTTTTGTGACTTTACAGCAGCGCTAGGGAGGGAAGCAAGAACTCGCTGTGCCTCAAGGAATGTGAAACGATGGAACACAGATAAGCCTCTCCACGCATAGGGGAGAAATAAGCAGTTAATATACTCTTAACCCAGGCCTTGGGTAGGGGAGGTGCTATATTACATTCTACCTCAAAGGAAAAGAATATACTTCTTGATTAGTATACTTATAAAATTCATTAATTTCCCTTTCACTGGATATTCCTACTAATTCCCCCAGGGCCTTGCAGTTTTGTCTCATTCGCTGCTCTATCCCCTAGCTTAGCACAAAACCTAGTTCTTAACATTGATTAAATAAATGAATCCGGTCAGGTGCTCCCGTGGGTGATCTGGAAGGAGTTAAATTTGGTAGTCATGGGAGACGCTTCTGTGAAGCCATAGGAGCGAAGATTGATTGTGGCGGCAGGACTGAACTCAGCTTCTGAATCTTTCTAGCCGCTAAACCTACAGACTAAGTGGCGTCCTTGGGGAATGCTGCCTCAAACGGCTCGCGACGTCCTAAAACATGTACATTTATTTTGGAAAATCTGTTTTCGTAAAACCTAGCATACTTAATCACCAACATTTGTTAACTTCATGGTGGCATATTAATACCTGTCAGGTTGATTTTAGTTGGAGTGGGACGGGGCTGACCTCACCGTCCTACCCTTCGGTATGAGGCCGGCGTCTTCACGACCTCGCTTTTCACAACCCCAGTCCCCGAGGGCTTATTTGGGGCTGTCGGAGTCCCCAAGACGTGGCCCCGGAGAAGGGTGAGGTGCCACAGTTCGAGGTGCCCCAGTACCCTGCGTCCGGACAGGGGGCGGTGCTCACGCCCAAGGCCCCGCTGACGCGATGTAGGCCGAGATCACCTCAGGCGCTCGCGGTGCAATCACAGAGCGCGCCGTCGCCGCTCGAGCTCGCCCTGAGATCCCTCCGCTCAGCGCCTTCAACGCCGTGTCCCGGCACCCCGCACCCGGGCACACAAAAAACGGGTCGCCCGCGATTCTCAGGGATTGATCGCCTCTTCAGGTAAGTTATCTTCCGGCCCCGTACCACTGTGCCACAGGCGCAGCCCGCTTCCTCAGGTGCCCTATCCCGCGCAAGAAGACCACGGCTTCACAGAGTGTTATTTAAGGGGCGTGGCCAGCGGAACATCCCGCCCCATTCTGTGACGCACGGGGTGGCGCGCGTGGGACCCGAGGGGTGGGGCTGGGTTTAGTAGGAGACCTGGGGCAAGGCCCCCTGTGGACGACCATCTGCCAGCTTCTCTCGTTCCGTCGATTGGGAGGAGCGGTGGCGACCTCGGCCTTCAGTGTTTCCGACGGAGTGAATGGCGGCGGCGGCTGGGATGCTGCTGCTGGGCTTGCTGCAGGCGGGTGGGTCGGTGCTGGGCCAGGCGATGGAGAAGGTGACAGGCGGCAACCTCTTGTCCATGCTGCTGATCGCCTGCGCCTTCACCCTCAGCCTGGTCTACCTGATCCGTCTGGCCGCCGGCCACCTGGTCCAGCTGCCCGCAGGGGTGGTACGTACATTCTTTAGGGTCTGAGTGGGGCGCGCGCCGCAGCTGAGGCGGCCGAAGGGCTGGCGTGGGCGGCTCCGTGGCCCCGACCGGCTCAGTGGATGGCAAGGGCGGGGGCGACTGCGGCCATGCTTGGCGTGGCTTTGGTGGCAGGCGCGCTGGGGGCTGGAGTAGTGGCTGCGGCGGCGGCACTGCTGCTGGTGGCGCTGGCTGTAGCACCCGCCATTGCCTTGTGTTGGGGGGCGGTGCTGGCCTCCCCGGCTGTGTATCTGATCCTAGACGGGGTCGTGGTTGCGGCATTTGTGGTTGTAGCGGTCTGTACTGACCGCAGCAGTGGTGCCCCTAGTGGCGGTGGCTGGATTGGCGGCTGTGGGTTTGAACGACCCGGTGGTCGTTGGGGCCCTTGGTGGGGGTCCTGACGGAGATGCTGTTGGCAGCTGGCCCGTCATCCTGGAGGCTGCCCTGTGTGGTTCAGTGTTCTGTGGGCTGTAGCAGTGCCCCTAATGGTGGTTTATACCCATATTAAGGAGGATGTGTAGAGTGTGGTAATGGTAGTGACTGGAGTGTGGTAAGGGCCTTCCTCTGATGCTAATAATGTAACAGTTTCTCGGCCGGGAGCAGTGGCTCACGCCTGTAATCCCAGCACTTCGGGAGGCCGAAGCGGGCGGATCACCTGAGGTCAGGAGTTCCAGACCAGCCTGAACAACATGGAGAAACCCCATCTCTACTAAAATACAACAAAACAAAACAAAAATTAGCTGGATGTGGTGGCACACGCCTGTAGTCCCAGCTGCTTGGGAAGCTGAGGCCCGAGAATCACTTGAACCTAGGAGGCGGAGGTTGCAGTAAACCGAGATTGCGCCACTGGACTCCAGTCTGGGCGACAGAATGAGACTCCGTCTCAAAAAAAAAAAAAATCATTTTCTTCAATTTAACAGCCTTATTAACCTAGCTTTCAATCTCCCAAATGTTATTTGATTGTGCCTTTTACAGTCAGCAATAAGTAGCTTTTGAAAACTACCCTTTTACTGACAATGCAATGTACAAACTTTTGACCAAGTAGCTTTTAAAATAATTTTTGTTTGAACCATACCAGGCATAAGAAAGAGTTATTTATTTATTTATTTTTTTCCTACACATGGGATCTTTAAGGAAATGATATTTGTCTCTGGGAAGACAAAGTTACTTTTAGTGTTTAAAGATAGTTCTATTAGCTGAGGTGTACTGTGAGGTTGTGGTGCTCCTTTCTATTTGAGACCACCAGAGAATTGAGGAGTATTACCCTTTTTCATTATTTTGTTTGATTTTCAGGATACTTAATGTTGTAATCTGCAGGTCTCATTTTGTGGCATCTAAAGAAACTTTTATGAAGAATGCTAGAGTTCTTGCTAGAGCTGATCTACTCTCTTAAAAACTCTAAAATCAGTGGCTCTAGTTCACTTGCAGTGAGAGAAGCATGAGATTGATTGTTTACTGAGAAGTAAATATAGCTTCTTAAACATTTCCCTTCTTTCTATACTACAAGTTACTGCTTGTCTTTTTCTATACCTTCTTTAAGCAAGTATCTGGGACTAAAATTGTGAGTAGTAGTAGTAGTAAGTAGTGAAGAAACAATATAGTGGGCCCTCTGGGGACACGAATTCCACATTTGGGAATTCAGCCAAGTGTAGATCTAAAATACCCAGGGGAAAAAAACCCAATACAAAATAACACAACAATAAAAAATAATACAAATAAAAAAACACAGTTTAATAACAGTTTATATAGCCTTTACATTGTATTGGGTATTGTAAGTAATATAGAAATGGTTTAAGGTATATGAGAGGATGTGCATAGGTTATACGCAAATACTTTGCCATTTTATATAAGGGACTTGAGGATCCCTGGATACAAATCTGTGAGGGGGTCCTGGGACCAGTTCTCCACAAATGCCAAGGGACAAGTGTAGTTTGACCTTTTTGGTTTTTTGCTACTAATGGTTAGAAAAGTTGCCTGGAGACACCAATAATAATTGGACATATTCTGGACAGTGTCCATCATTTAAATTTACAGTGCCTTAGTGTTTATCTGGTCGTTTATCTTATACCGTGTTTTGAGTTTCTGTTCTTTTCTACAATAGCTACTCTCTTGAGGTATTTGCAATTTGGCTGTTCTCAAGTTACTTCTGATGCTTCCTTTTTTTTTGGTAACTTTTTTTTGAAGTCTTAATAGCTATTTTGTTTAATTGTTTGGTCATGAAACGAAACTGGGTTTCTCTCTTGAAATGAAACACGAATTGAATTTACTATTTTTTTCTCTTGTAGAAAAGTCCTCCATACATTTTCTCCCCAATTCCATTCCTTGGGCATGCCATAGCATTTGGGAAAAGTCCAATTGAATTTCTAGAAAATGCATATGAGAAGGTAAGTCTTCCAAATAATTAGAGGAAAAAAAAAAAAACAACTAGAGAAGTGCTTTTTAAACTTTTTTAAAAAAGTGGCAGAACATTTAAAAACATTGTAATCATATACATATCCTCAGTATAGGAAACAAAATGGAAACTGCTCTGGTTTAAGAGATGGTGTCTTATAGATACCTATCCTTTTAGCTTTTCCCATGTCCTGGGGTCGTCTTTGAGACACCATTGAGGAAACCTGTAGTTCTGGCAACTATGGTTTAAAAGCCACTGTTCTGAGTTTTCTATTCACTTATTGTCATTAAAATTGATATTAATTAACCCTCATTTTTCTTTACCATGCATCTGTGGGGTTTTCTAACCTGCTCTATACATCTTCTGTGATTTCACTGTCCACTTGAATGACCCACATGACACCATAGCTACTCAATTATTTGCCCGTCTTCTCTCTAATGAGCTTCCCTGTGCCAGTTAAGCCATTTACTTCACAGTCTCGCTTTGGACTTGTCACTCTTAACTGTTTCACTTCCACAATATTAATTTAGATATCCTATTCGTAGACCATACCGTCTCCTGGTTTGCTTGTGCAACTCCTTAAATTATAACTATTCTTTGACCTCATTGGATCTTGCATTCCATTTACTTTCTCCTGATCCATCAGCCTTCATTCTTCACTTTCCTCTTTCCGCTTTGGGTCCATGGCATGTCGTTTCTGTTACACTCTTGGCAATACTGTACTTTAAATTTCCTCGACCCCGCATCTTTTCATTGTGTTCAGCTGGCAGAAGTCACCCTTGGAGGCAGCCAGTTATTGTCTCCTTCTGCACCAGATTAGTTTCTTCCTGATTTTATGATTGCCTACCTTAATGATATTTGAACACTGCTCCACAGTCCTATTATGTTCTTGTGATTGGGCCTACTTTTCCACTCATTACAGTGACTAATTCAAACCTTCACTTTTCTAAACTTCTGAATCTTTCTACCTCTCCATCAAAGCAGATGATTTTTTCTCCTGTTTAGGAGACAATGATTAAAAACGTTGATTTAGGAGACAATTATTAAAACATTCAAAGAAAACTTCCTCATTTTCTCAATTTCAAATATGCAAACCTACTTGTATTTATATAGTAATCCTATTCTCTTTCTTCCTATCACAGTAATAATTATCAAACACTTACTTTATGCCAGTACTTAGTGCTTTACAAAGATCATCTCACTGAAGCTCCACAAAAACCCTTTCAGGTATATTTGTTTTATAGATGACAAAACTGAGAAGCAGAGAGGATATATAATTTCTTCTTGGACTCACTGCTAGACAGTGGCCAAGCCAGGATTTACACATGGTCTGATTTCTGAGCCTATACTTTTATTAATGATAACAATAATGGAAAACAAGTCATTAAGATGCTAAGTAAGCCAAGGTACTCTTCTCTGCCCTGTATATAAAATTTGGCAGCAGCTCTGTGAAGAACTGCTATTATTATTATTACCATTTTATAGGTGAGAGAAACGAAACACAGAGAGACTAAGTTCTCTGACTATAGGACCAAAGTCATACAGCAAGTAGGTGGAGGAGCTGGGATTTGAACACGGACAGTCTGGCTCACTGCGTTCTACCACTTTGATTTTATTACAACTATATTTTGCCTCTTATCGGAGGCTGAACTCTCCATCCCTCTTTTGTCTCAGGAACTTTTTACTTTTATTTGTTTTCTCAGTGTATTGTTGACTTCTTTTTCAATGGCATCTTTCCTTTTTCTCTGAAAAATTCTTGTCACCCGTTTAAAAACTTCCTCAAAATGGCTTATGAGGCTCTGTATGGTCTAGCACTGCCTAATGCTCAACTCTCATCTCCTCCTTTCTCTTTCTCTTACTTTTAGGGCCTTTGTGTATGTTTAGCTACCAAACCAGCTCCTCATTCTTCTGGTCTCAACCTAGTTGTCTTTTCCTCTATTAGGTCTCCCTTTTTTAGATTCTCTCATCACAGAGTTGCTTTCCTTTCTGTAATACTTGTCACATTTGCAGTTTTATGTTTGTTAATGTGATTATTTGATTAATTTGTATTTTTTCCAATAGACTAAGCTTGGTGAGTTGGGACAGTATTTTTTTTCATGATTATACCCCCAGAGTCTAGTCTTCAATCATAACCAGAAAACTGCAAGGGAAAGTATTTAACATCTAACCAAATTAATATAAAATAAAAAATGAAGTCATTTAGTGTAGGTGAGATAGTGCTAAAATAGATAAATAAACTTGTAGTGTCTTCACATAGCAGGTACTATAGAAAAGGTCAAATTCTTTGGCTAGTCTTGTAAAATTTGTTTTTAACCAAAGGGGGAAGAAGTCTATATTTTCAGAGGTGTTCATCACAGAATTAGCTGTAATAACTAAAGAAAACCCTGACATATCACCCATATGTCCAATAATGAAAGAGTAGTCAGTAAATTAACATTGTGATGTTTATATAGACAATAGAAAACATTGTCAATATAAACTGAAAAAAGCATAATAAACAGTTATATTTATACTACATTTGCAACTAAATGAACATAATTATAAATTTGGACAAAGGAAGGAGGAGTATGGCAAGATGAAAAGAATTGCTTTAAGGTTTATATATGTTTTTATTTTTTTAATAATGCATTATTTTGTGATTTTAAAAAGTTACTGTCGTAGTGTTGCATATTTTTTGTAACATCACTATATGTACTTTTCTCTTTTTAGTATGGACCTGTATTTAGTTTTACCATGGTAGGCAAGACATTTACTTACCTTCTGGGGAGTGATGCTGCTGCACTGCTTTTTAATAGTAAAAATGAAGACCTGAATGCAGAAGATGTCTACAGTCGCCTGACAACACCTGTGTTTGGGAAGGGAGTTGCATACGATGTGCCTAATCCAGTAGGTGACACTGTTACCATAAATAAAGACAAATCTATACCTCAGTAGTTATAGCTAATAGTGAGACATTATACATTTAAAATGTAGAAACAGCCAGGCATGGTGGCTCATTCCTGTAATCCCAGCACTTTGGGAGGCCAAGGTGGGTGGATCACTCAAAGTCAGGAGTTCAAGACCAGCCTGGCCAACATGGTGAAACCCTGTCTCTACTAAAAATACAAAAATTAGCTGGGTGGGGCTGGTGGTGCACACCTGTAAATTCCAGCTACTTGGGAGGCTGAGGCATGAGAATCGCTTGAACCCAGGAGGCGGAGGTTGCAGTGAGCCGAGATCACAACACTGCACTTTAGCCTTGGCAACAGAGTGAGACCCTGTCTCAAAAACAGAAACAAAAAACCAAACACACACACACACACGCACGCGCACACACACACACACACACACACACACAGAAACCAACCAAACAAAAATGTAATAAAATGTAGAACCAGTTTATTCCTTGGTTCAAAAGTCTGAAGAATCATGAGAAGAAAGGCCATGGATAACTGATAAGTAATGGGTATTTAGTTTTATATTTGCTGTCATGGCTAAACAATATTAAAGGGCTTCCTGTACAAATAATGGAATCAATGATAACTTAGCATACTGGGATTTAATTTGAAAGGGTTATTAGACAATGCTGTTACTTCATCAAAAGGACTTCCTGCCTACCCATTCCTGCCTGAAATTCTAACATAAGCGCTGTTTAGAGATTGCTGACTTCAGAAGTCCTCTTTTAATGCAACAACTTCACGTGTGGGGTACATCTATGTGTATGTTTTACCCTCAAAAGCCAAATACGAAATTGTTTTAAGTTGATATAGAACACAAATCAGACAATTGGCCCCAATGCTTGGTATGGGCTCTGGCTGTGAATGTAACACACATTAGCCAGTACCCTAGTATAGCAGTTAAGAGTTAACATTAAATCTTGTTTCTAGTGATGGGGAATGAGGGAATGAATGCCTCTCCTTAAGGCCAAAAAACAGGGCCCTGGAAAATCCCTCTGTTCAGATATATATATTCATTTAGACTCTATTCATTTAGAGTCAGATAGATCTATTCATTTAGACTCTTAAAATGTAAATGCCCAAAGGGTTAAAACCATTACTTGTGTTAGTGTTACATAATTATAATAACCTAAATGGATTTTATGATAAAACAAAAATGTGTTTTAATGCCGTATCCCCGTTTTGAATTTTTTTGAAGGTTTTCTTGGAGCAGAAGAAAATGTTAAAAAGTGGCCTTAACATAGCCCACTTTAAACAGCATGTTTCTATAATTGAAAAAGAAACAAAGGAATACTTTGAGAGTTGGGGAGAAAGTGGAGAAAAAAGTAAGCAAAATGTTTTATGTTTGTCCTAACATTTCTACTTCTCTGTGAATAGAAAAGTAGAGTATATATGTGTGTAGTATATAAAAAACAAATTACAGTGTATGTAAAACTACCTTAGATTTATGGGAGGGTTATGTAATGATTACCATGAAGTTGTAACTGAGAATCCAGTTTTTATACTGGGCTGCAAGTTAAGTATTGCCTTCAGAAGCAATTGCTGTGCCCATAGTAGGAAGCAACATCTGCCCACAGGGCAGCAGGACCCAGGGCAGCAGGTCACTATATTCTGGGTCTGGCCTTTGGCCTCTGTAAGAGTTCCAGAATCTTTGTTTTTGGTATACTTAAGTTGATATTGATATATTTTCTAACCATACAAGAAACTGATGTATAAATTAGAATGCCAATGTAATAATGCATGTGAGACATATAATTACAGCACCAAGAAATCCAGAATATTTACTGATATTCTTTTTATTGACAAATATAATTGGAAAGCCAGATGATCATTGGAAGTTCATTTAGTGAATGTGGAATTAACAGGAAATTAATTGGATAATTTTTATTAGTTGTCATCAAATTATGCTTGCCTGGTGCATTTGTCTCCAGTGTTGGGATATACTAATTGGTGATTATAGTTTTCTTTTACATATCGCCAGTAATTCCATTTTGGCCCTGATCTTCCTACTTTTAACCTGGGAAATAATCTGATCTTTGGCTACTATTCCTTGGGAAGTACCTTATTATTGTCATATGCACTATAAATAACCTTTTTTCTGCTTTTGTTATTGTGACCTGGAAATCAAATAACCACATTTATTCTTTTCATGATGAAGTGCTCATGAGTGGGGTTTTGAGATGTGTTTCTGGGATCTGTTTTGGCTGTTTAGAGGGACAGGGTGCTTCACATTGTTTGGTTTATTGCCCCTCTTTGTTGTTGTACATAGTCACATGTCTGTCTACAGACTTTTTTTGATGATATGAATAGGATCTTGTTTCTTCTTGAGTTCTGTTTTTAATTCTCAATTTTCTTTCACTTTTTGGAAATAGTAATGAGAATAATCTTTTTTTTCTCCCTAGATGTGTTTGAAGCTCTTTCTGAGCTCATAATTTTAACAGCTAGCCATTGTTTGCATGGAAAGGAAATCAGAAGTCAACTCAATGAAAAGGTAGCACAGCTGTATGCAGATTTGGATGGAGGTTTCAGCCATGCAGCCTGGCTCTTACCAGGTTGGCTGCCTTTGCCTAGTTTCAGGTATGGATAAAGAATATATTACACTAGGTTATTTAACTTTGTATAATTATTGTAGTGTTGGTATGCTTTGCCTTAACAAAGATAAAAATTAAACAAGTAAAACATACAAAATGGGTAAGATTATGAATCCCCTTTCTTCTATAAGAATTCAAGACAAATTTTCTTTATATAATGAGCTCATTTAAAGTAAGTTTCAGTTTATTAAAAAGGTGATTTGTTGTCTGTCTAGTCTAATATTTTATTTATGTTTTTGTTTTTGAGATGGAGTCTTGCTCTGTTGCCCCAGCTGTAGTGCAGTGGTGTGATCTCGGCTCACTGCAGTCTCTGCCTCCTGTGTTCAAGCAATTCTCCTGCCTCATCCTCCTGAGAGCTGGGACTACAGGCACGTGCCACCATGCCCAACTAATTTTTCTATTTTTAGTAGAGACAGGGTTTCATCATGTTGGCCAGGCTGGTTTCAAACTCCTGACCTCAGGTGATCCACCTGCCTCAGCCTCCCAAAGTGTTAGGATTACAGGCGTGAGCCACTGAGCCCAGCCTAGTTTAAAAGCCTGCTTACCTCACGTATTCCTTATCCTCAGGAAAGTCTCTGAACTATACCTAAAAGTGATACAGCTCTTCTCTAGCACTTGTTTGAAATCTTTGGTGGCTTTTTATTGTATTGTGAAGTTTCTTTGTTTTAAATATTTGTGCCTTTATTTAATTTTCTGTTTCTTAAGGACAGGGACTGCCTCTGATATAAAGAAATATTGCTCTTAGGACTTGATCTATAGCTTAGTGCTTAGTGTTTTGCATATTAGTAGGCTTTCTGTACTTTTGTTGATTTATTGGTGTTTAGGTGACAGATGGGGAGGAGATAGATTGCTAGTCCCTTTTCTTCTATTTCTGCCCCCTCTATCTAGTTACAGATTGGAAGAGGGGTGGGAGTAAAAGGAAGAGCCAGGAGAGATTCCCTAAAGTTCTCTGGAACTCATCATACCTTATATTTGCAAGGAGCTTTGCAGTTTCAAAATGTTTTCATATATCTTATATTAGAACACCCAGCACAGCCCTGGACTCATAGTGGGTTCTCCATAAATGTGCATTTCTTTTTTTTTTTTTTTTTTTTGGTGATGGAGTCTTGCTCTCTCGCCCAGGCTGGAGTGCAGTGGCATGAGCTCGGCTCACTGCAAGCTCTGCTTCCCAGGTTCACGCCATTCTCCTGCCTCAGCCTCCCGAGTAGCTGGGACTACAGGCACCCGCCACCAAGCCTGGCTAATTGTTTTGTACTTTTAGTAGAGATGGGGTTTCACCGTGTTAGCCAGGATGGTCTTGATCTCCCGACCTTGTGATCCGCCCGCCTCGGCCTCCCATAGTGCTGGGATTACAGGCGTGAGCCACTGCACCTGGCCCATAAATGTACATTTCTACCTGCCTGTTTCTACCTGCTCTGTCTCTTGGATGAAGTCAGAGCTTGCTATGTTAGGCCCTTCACATTCTGGCCCAGTCTTTCTTTCTTCTACTCATACCAACTAATTTAACCAGATTATTCAATTCACTTTCTTAAACAGGCCTATGTTTTCCTGGTTCGACTGTATTCATACAGTTAAGCCCCAACATCTTCTCTTCTGTACACATGGTTTCAGTTGATCCTCAATAACAGATTAACAGTCTTGTAAATGAAACAGAGTAGGAGTTTTTTTTAGAAGGCTTGATTTAAGAGGGGGCTTGGGAGTCAGACTGCCTAGTTTTAAATTCCAGCTCCAATGTTTGCTTTCTGTGTGATCTTATGCAGCTAGCTATAACTTGAGGTTAATAGTATGTACCTCACAGGAAGATAAAAGTGAGTAATTCATGTAAAACACTTAACATGGTACCTGCTACATAGTGAACATACTATTTAAAGGTAAAGTTTAGGAGTTGAAGCTTGTTTTCTGAATCTGCTAGTATTTTCACCCCCTACAAAAAACTATTGTATTAGAAAGTGAAAAGTAGAACCAGATTCCATGGAAGAACCAGAGTGACTCTTCTGCTTTAAGACTTGATTTGGTATTAAAATTGGAATTTTATGTTAATTTAAAAGAGTATCCTACTTTCTGTTGAACTGGAAAATACTTCTAAAGGAATTTCTTGCTTGTTTTAGGCCTTTAGTTTGAACACAGGCAATGTGTTAAGAATCTGGGATATATATGTTAAATAAAGCACAGTTCTTGCCCTTAGGGACTATGGACATTTTTAACAATGTAAGATTTTCATGACTTCCAGTATGTTCCTGGTTCTGATTTTTTTGTCAATTATTTTAGAGTCATTAAAGTTGGTTAAATAAGATGCTTTATGCTCGGTCCTGGTTCTCAAAATGAATTTGATCCTAGAAGGTTATTTCTTTATTTAAGAAAATCATCTTTATCTTTTAATTACAGACGCAGGGACAGAGCTCATCGGGAAATCAAGGATATTTTCTATAAGGCAATCCAGAAACGCAGACAGTCTCAAGAAAAAATTGATGACATTCTCCAAACTTTACTAGATGCTACATACAAGTAAGAGCTATTCAGATAACATATTAAGCTGAAGCAGGAAATTACACATTAAAACACAGTTAAATAGTATTTCCAGTTAAAAAACAGTGATGCTGGCAAAATAAGTTGGTAGCTGTGATCTTTGGACTCTTTAAATTGTTGAGACATAAACTATTGGCATCCTGTGTCTTACTGTAATCCCAGTGACTGGGTATGGTAAAAGTTTGCTAATGAACTGTAATGGAGTCTTTTGTAATCAAAATCGTTTTGTGCTGGTCTGTCTCTTCCCTAAGAGAAAAAAAACTCTTGACTTGTGATAGTCAAATATAAGAGACCACTATACCTGAAAAATGTATTCATTATGACACTTTATTTAAAGGTTGAGGCATGAAATGTATCTGCCAAAATGTTAAATTTGTGTCTTTGGTTCATTCCTTAGGGATGGGCGTCCTTTGACTGATGATGAAGTAGCAGGGATGCTTATTGGATTACTCTTGGCAGGGCAGCATACATCCTCAACTACTAGTGCTTGGATGGGCTTCTTTTTGGCCAGAGACAAAACACTTCAAAAAAAATGTTATTTAGAACAGAAAACAGTCTGTGGAGAGAATCTGCCTCCTTTAACTTATGACCAGGTTTGTTGGATTTTTCAGTTTCATTGCTGCCTTATGACTTTGAGGATCTGTGGCTAATTTTTAAAAGGGACAATTTGAGATTTTCTATATACTATAGCTTAAATTGATCAGCTTCTCTATTTTTAGCAAATTCCCTATAACCTTACCTAAAATATCTTAATGTTATTGCTTCTTGCCATTAAGCTTTATCAGATATGTTTTGGGTTGATGGCTTAGAGATCCTTGGGGATGTTTCTTTGGTACTTACTTCCTCTGCTTCAAAGTCTGGCTTCTGTACATAGAGGATATTATGTGCATGTTGTGTGTCTTATGAAGTGTAGAAGCCTCTGAATTACTTAGAATTCTGTATGTCCAGAGTGGCCTGGGCATGAGCAGAGACTTCTAAAAGTAGTAGTAGTAGTAGTAATGAGGACAAGACATTTACAAATACTACATGCAACTTGCTGGGTGGAAAGGAAGAGAGGACAACTCACTGCACAACCTGACATTCCATCTTGGAAGCAAACCTTGGTGATGTCATCTTCCTGTTATCTTTTGTGCTTTTGGTCCTATATTAATATGGCACATTACACTGATTTTCAGATGTTAATTGTATTCCTGGGATAAATCCTACTTTGTCATGGTGCATAGTTCTTTCTATATGTTACTACATATAAACTTGCTGGTGTTTTGTTGAGGATTTTTGCATCTATATTCATAAAGGATATTGATCTCTAGTTTCACTGTGATGTCTTTGACTGGTTTTGATATCAGGATCATACTCATCTCATAGAATGTATTTGGAAGTATTCTTTTTTTCTTCTAATTTTTGGAAGAGTTTGTGGATGATTGGTGTTAATCCTTTTTTACATATTTGCAAAAATTCAGCAGTGAAATCATCTAGATCTGTGCTTTTCTTTCTGAGAAGACTTTACTTACTAATTCAATTTATTTGTTACAGGTTTATTCAGATATTCCATTTCTTCTTATGTCAGTTTCAGTAGTTTATATCTCTCTAGGAATTTGTCCATTTCATCTAGGTTACCTAATTTGTTGGCATACAATTGTTCATAGTATTCTCATAATCCTTTTTATTTCTGTAAGCTCAGTAGTGATGTCTCAACACTCATTCTTGTTTTTAGTAACTTAAAATAACAGCTTAACTGATATATTTACATAGCATAAATCCATCCATTTAAAATGTACACTTTGTGGTTTTTAGCATATTAAGAGTTGGGAAACCATCATCATAATTTAATTTTAGAACATTTACATCACTCCCAAAAGAGAGCTGGTACCCATTAGCAGTCATGCTTCATTCTCCCTGACTGCTGCCCCTGGCAACCATTAATCTCCTTTTGCCTCTGTGAGTTTGCCTATTCTGGATATTTCATGTAAATGGGATCATACAATTTGTAGTCTTTTGTGACTACCTTGTTTCACTTAGCATGTTATCAGGGTTCTTCCATGTTGTAGCATGTATCAGTACTTCAGTCTTTGTTATTACCAATAATATTCCATTATATGGATAGACCACATTTTGTTTATTTGTTCATCAGTTGATGGACATTTGAGTTGTTTCCACCTTTTAAACTATTATGAATAATGCCGCTCTAAACGTTTGTGTACTGATTTTATGTGGACATGTGTTTTCAATTTTGGGGGGTCATACCTAGGAGTAGAATTGCTGGGTTATAAGGTAACTTTGAAGAACTGCCAGACTGTTTTAAAAAGTGGCTGCACCACTTTCAAATCTCACTAAACAGTATATGTTGGTCCTGACTTCACCCCCTCACCAAACTTGTTACTTGATTTTTTTATTATAATAGGTGTGAAGTGATACTTTTTTTTTTTTTTTTGAGACAGAGTCTTGGTGTGATGCCCAGGCTCTAGTGCAATGGCGCGACCTTGGCTTACTGCAACCTCGGCTTCCCAGGTTCAAGCTATTCTCCTTCCTCAGCCTCCCAAGTAGCTGGGTACACACCACCACGCCTGGCTAATTTTTGTATTTTTGGTAGAGACAAGGTTGTACCATATTGGCCAGGCTGGTCTTGAACTCCTGACCTCAAGTCATCTGCCCGCCTTGGCCTCCCAAAGTGCTGGGATTACAGGTGTGAGCCACCATGCCCAGTTGGTATTTTGTTTTGATTTTGCATTTCCCTGGTGACTAGTGATGTTGAGTGTCTTATGATGTGTTCTTTGGCTTTGGTATACTTCTTTGGAGAAATGTCTGCTCACATCCTGTTCCCATATTTAAAATGAGTTGTCTTTTTATTATTGAGTTGTAAGAGTTCATCTATTTTTTTTTAATGTGCTTTTGGTGTCAGAGAAACTAATGCCTAATCAAAGTGTATGAAGATTTATTTCTGTGTATTCTTCTTAGTGTTTTGTAGTTTCATATCTTACATTTAGGTCTTTGATCCATTATGAATTAATTTATGTATATGATGTGAGGTCATCATTCTTTTGCATGTGTTTATCCAGTTGTCCCACACTGTTTGTTGAAAAGACTATTTTTTCCACGTTGAATTGTCTTTGTAAAAAAATCTATTATAGCCAGGCGCAGTGGCACGTGCCTGTATTCTCAGCTACTGAGAAGCTGAGATGGGAAGGTCGCTTGAGCTCAGGACTTGGGGTCCAGCCTGGGCAACATAGCGAAACCCTGTCTCTGAAAAAATAAATACATTTTAAAAAGCCTCTTGACCATAAATTTAAGGCTTTATTTCTGGACTCAGTTCTATTCCATTGATATGTTTAGTCTGATGCCATTACGTAGTTTTGTAATAAGTTTTGAATTCGGGAGTGTGAGTCCTCTGACTTTGTCCTTTTCAAGGCTGTTTATCTACTCCTAGTCCCTTTAGTTTCCATATGAATTTTGGGGTCAGTGTGTCAGTTTCTGCAAAGAAGCTAGCTGAGATTTTTGACAATGATTGCATTGTATCGCCATATTAATTTGGGAGCACAATTTTAGTCTTTAAATCTGTGAACATGAGATGTCTTTCTCTTATTTTAGTTCTTTAATTTCTTTCAACAATGTTTTATAGTTTTTGGTGCACAATGTTTAAACTTCTCTTGTTAAATGTATTCTTAAGTATTTTATTATTGTTATTTTTTTGATGTTATTCTTTCTTCTGCCAGTCCAAATCTGCTGTTGATCCCCTCGGGTGAATTTTTCATTTCAGTTCTCATACTTCTCAGTTCTTGAATTTCTATTTGGTTCTCTAAAAAAATAATATATTGATATTCTCCATTTTACTAGAGATATCTAGGCATATTTTGCTATAGTTCTTTGAACCTGTTTATAATAGCTGATTTAAATTCATTATCTAGTAAGTCCAATGTCTGGGCTTCTTCATGGATAGTTTCTATTAAACTGCTTGCTTTTTCTATGTACTGGCCATACTTTCCTGTTTTGGTGTGTTTTTTGTAATTTTTTTGTTGAAAACTGTACATTTAAAATAATGTGGCAACTGTGGAAATCAGATGCCCTCCTCCCTGGGTTTATTGTTGCTGGCTCTTTGTTGTTGTTGTTGTTGCTGCTGCTGTTTGTTTACTGCGTTTCCTGGATTAATTATGTCATTCCTTGTTCAGTGAGGTCACTGAAATCTCTGCTTGCTTACTTTAGTGGGCATCTAATATTTGGACAGAGATTTACTGAAGTGCTTTGAACAGCCAGTCTCCTAGCTTTTGCTGAAAGGCTCTGTATGTGTGTGTTAGGGGATGTTATTAACACTCCAACAGGCAGTTACAAGTCTGCCTTCACTACCTGTGTGTACAGGTCAGCCAGAGGTAAAAGATTACAGCCTCTTAGATCTTACCTGGGCATATGCATGGTCTTATACATATGTGTGGCCTTCAAGATTCTCTTATGTTGGAACTTTTCAAAGTCTCCTGTGGACATCTTACTCCCCAGTTTTCCCTTTTAAACTTCTTGTTCTGTCTCTTAGCACCAACTGATATCACCATCTCAGGCGCCTTCAGTGTTAAACAATTTTTGCTAAATATTTTTGGAAAATTTGCTCTGGCTCCTCTAATAGTTGTTAGGCTTCTGGCTTTCACAGCTGCTATAGTTGTCATGCTGTTGGTTTCCGGGGCTACCATGGATTTGGGGAGAGGAGGATGAAAGAAATACAACTTACACTACCACAAAGCTTACTCTTCTTACCAAGATTCAGATTTCTTTTTCTTGAATTAACTCTCCTTAGATTGTTGCAAGCCTTTGGTTAATCTTCCAGAATTTTGAAAAAGTTGACATTAAGATTGTTGCTACTGTTTTCATTTTTTGGAGGAGTGAATTTTTGTAGGTTCTTACTTCATTCTTCAGGGCAATCGCTTCTGTTACCTTGCCCTCCTTTTTCACCATGGACAGTGGTAGAGCATGATAACCCCAGCCACCCTGAACCAGTTACCTCTGTACTTTTAGCTGGAATGCAAGCTGTCTTGTACTAACTAAGAAGTTAAACTAATTTTTTGTACTGTTGAAGTATGTTATTTATAACAATCAGGAAATGCTTTCTCATTTTAGCTCAAGGATCTAAATTTACTTGATCGCTGTATAAAAGAAACATTAAGACTTAGACCTCCTATAATGATCATGATGAGAATGGCCAGAACTCCTCAGGTGAGTATCTTGGCTACATCTTCCCCTCTATACCCCCAGTTTTTATCAAAAAGAAGAAATAGGTGGGTGTGGTGGTTCACACCTGTAATCTCAACACTTTGGGAGGCTGAGGTGGGAGGATCACTTGAGGCCAGAATTTGAGACCAGCCTGGGCAACATAGTGAGACTGACCTCATCTCTACAAAATTTTTTCTAAAAATTAGCTGGCCATAATGGCACATGCCTGTGGTCCCAGCTGCTTGGGAGGCTGATGTGGGTAGATTGCTTGAGCCTGGGAGGTTGAAACTGCAGTAATCCATGATCACGCCACTGCATTGCTGCCTGGGCAACAGAGCAAGACCCTGTCTCAAAAAAAATAAAAATAAAAAAGAAAGAAAAAGAAAAGAGGAAGTAGAGTAGCATAAAAGAGATTTTTTTAAATTAAAAAAGTAGAATAATCACTTCTACCTAATCTTCAGTTTTATATACTCTAAAAACATATTTTTACCTAATTGTAGATAGTATACGTGCTAATCTGTTTTTTTTTTTTTTGAGACGGCATTTCACTCTTGTTGCCCAGGCTGGAGTGCAGTGGTGCGATCTCAGCTCACTGCAACCTCCGCCTCCCGGGTTCAAGCAATTCTTCTGCCTCAGCCTCCCAAGTAGCTGGGATTACAGGGGCATGCCACCATGCCTGGCTAATTTTTTGTATTTTAGTAGAGATGGGGTTTATCCATGTTGGTCAGGCTGATCTCGAACTCCCGACCTCAGGTGATCCACCCGCCTTGGCCTCCCAAAGTGCTGGGATTACAGGTGTAATCCCGCGCCCGGCCTACATGCTAATCTTTAATGCTAATCATGTTCTGCATTTTTCTTTAACAATTGGGGTTTTAAAAATCAAAGTACATATTTTTCTTGGTTTTAAAAATAACATTTTGTTGTAAAAAATTGTTAATATGAAGTGTACAAATTGATAGTGAAAGCCTCTCTGAAATTCCAACCCTACCTCCAAGGCATTATGGGTTTGATTTGTGTACTGTGTACTTCCAACCCAACGCTGGCTCACTGGAAATCATCTTGAGTTAAAATAATTTTTAGTTTGCCTATTATCTAGCCAGTTTTTAAATATATGTACAGATGGTTCTTGATTTATGTGATTCAACTTATAATTTTTTGACTTTATGATGGATTTATCAGGATGTAAACCTATCATAAGTCAAGGAGCATCTGAGTATCCCATGTATATTCATGCTTTATTACACAATGATCTGATTATTTGTCAGCACATTTTTAAATTCTCTAATGAAATGTGTGGCTTTTGTTTATAGACTGTGGCAGGGTATACCATTCCTCCAGGACATCAGGTGTGTGTTTCTCCCACTGTCAATCAAAGACTTAAAGACTCATGGGTAGAACGCCTGGACTTTAATCCTGATCGCTACTTACAGGATAACCCAGCATCAGGGGAAAAGTTTGCCTATGTGCCATTTGGAGCTGGTAAGATGATTATATTTTAGATTGGAAATGTTTGTTCTGATAACATATTTGTCTCTGTCAAAATATTCCGAATTGTGTTTACAAATTATCTCTCCCTTTCCTCATAGGGACATTTTTGCAAACTTTTTTAGGAGAAGAATCTTTATAAGTTGGAGAAAAATATTTCCTTTGTACCAAATGGAATTGTTCCATAAATCCTTATATAATGCTTCACTACTTCCTAACCTGTCTGGTTTTATTAGGTCTAATTTTTATAGAACATCCTTGTTTTCCCTTACAATGGTATTTAAAGCTCTTTGTGGATTCTCTTTTAAAGAACCATTGGAGTCAGCACACCATTCAGGGAATAACAGATTACTAGCATTTCACAAAAAAGCAAAGGCAGTCTTTTAAAATTAAAGCTCTTCTCGATCGTTAGTCAACATTTTTGCTCTCTGAATATCCGTATGAGAAAATGGTCTTTAAATTTGGGCAGGTTGTGTGTAGGCTTGCAAATTTCATTTCCAGTAAGATCCTAAAATAATTTAGCTATACCCTTGTTTCTCCAGTAATTTCTCTGTCCATTGGTTCTCTGTACTGATTAAACTATATTCTATGCTTTAGTCTTTCCAAAGGGATCATTTAAATGACAGATGACTTGTCATTGGTCACACTTTTTCCACATATAAAGGAAAATATAAAGTCCTTTGGGAACTTCAGATCTTAACTTTATGTAATAAATTTAATACTGTGGTGTATAACACAATATATAAAAGAATCATAGTTTTTTTTTTGAGAGAGTCTTGCTCTGTCACCCAGTCTGGAGTGCAGTGGCACAATCTCTCAGCTCACTGCAACCTCCACCTCTGGGTTCAAGTAATTCTCGTGCCTTAGCCTCCTGAGTAGCTGGGATTACAGGTGTGTACCACCACGCTCAGCTAATTTTTGAGCTTTTAGTAGAGACTGGGTTTTGCCATGTTGGCCAGGCTGGTCTCGAATTCCAGGCTTGAAGCAATCTGCCCACCTTGGCCTCCCACAGTGCTGGGATTACAGGCGTGAGCCATGCCACCTGGCCAAAGAATCAGATTGTTAACAGATGGGAAGAGCATTAGTTCTGTAGCCCAAATTCTGCCCCAAAGAGGAATCGTTTCTAAACTAGTAATTATCTGGTTTCCACTTGAACTTTACTAGAAATGGGTTGTGGGTTGTTCAGTTACCTTTTATGATGGCTCATTCTATGTTTGGACAGCTGTCATTTTTAGAGCCTTATGTTAAAGCTGAAATCTGTTTCTTTTTAACATCTCATTTATAGTTGGTCCTAACCATAGTCTCTGAACTTATATTGTATGAGGTATTTGAGTACAGATATAATGTCTCCTCCATCTTTTTTTCAATCTTTGTGTTAGTTTCCTAGGGCTTCTGTAACTAATTACAATATGGGTGGCTTAAAACAATAGAAATATATTCTATCACAGTTTTGGAGGCTGGAAGTGTGAAATCAAGGTATTGGCAGGACCGTGCTCCTCCTTAAGGTTCTACAGGAGAATCCTTCCTTGCATCTTCCTAGCTTCTGGTGGCTCTTGGCAACCCTTGGCTTGTAACTACATTGTTCCAATTACTACCCCTGTCTTCAACAGGCTTTCTTCTTGTTCATGTCTCTGTATCTTAACATGGCATTCTTATAAGGACACCAGTCATTGGATCTAAGTCCTACCCTAAGTCAGGGTCATCTCATCTTAAATAATTGTGTATATAAAGATCCTATTTCCCAATTAAGATCACATTCTAAGGTTCTGGATGGACTTGAATTTATGGGGGGATATATGATCTTACGTTAATCTTGTTAAATATCACATTACATGTCTCTAATTTCTTTACTCATTCTTTTACCTCGTAATTGTGCTGTTTATTTATGTTGGTGCATATAGTTCATTCATTTTCATAATATTACATTTTGTGAATCATCAGAATTTATCTACTCTTATGTTGATTCAATTAGGATACTTCTTGCTTGTTGCGATTAAATCCTTGGACTATTCTTCCTGTAAGCCAAGCTTCTCTTTAGTTGTTATATTTGAAATATGGACCAATTTGTAAATGCTCATCTTAAATGTCACTCCTAGAAATAAGTACAGTTATGGGCCAAGCAAGCACTGTGCTAAGCACTATCAGTTTAGGTTTTTTCTTTTGATGAAAAATCTTGCAATGAAATGCCCAAATCTTAAGTCAACATTCATTGAGTTTTGACAAATGAATAACCTTTAGTTTAGTCCAATGTATCAATCTTTTAAATGGTTATTGCTTTCTGGCCCTGTCTTAAAATTTTTGCTTAGCCCCTGAGTCATGAAGATATTCTCCTGTTCTTCTCTACTGAAATTTATGCTGTTAGCATCATGGTTTGTGACCCTTCTTGAATTAGTATTTGATTATGGTGTGACATAGGAGTTGAATTTCATTTTTCCCCCATGTAATATCTAGTTATTCCTGGACCTTATGTTGAAAAGACTTGCTTTTCCTCATTGGCTTGCTTTGGTGTCTGTACTGATAATCAAATAACCATAAAAATATTCTGTTCTGGGCTCTCTGCTCTGTTCCATTGATCTATTTGTTGATCCTTACCTAGTACCACTCTGTTTTATCTTTAGTCTTGAAGTCAGATTTGAAATCAGTTTTATGTCCTCCAACTCAGTTCTTTTTCCAAGATTGCTTTGGATATCCTAGGTCCTTTGCATTTTTATATGCATTTTAGAATCAGCTTGTCAGTTTCTACATGGGTGTGACTTTTTAGTATATTATTTTGGGTTCATTAAATCTCATTTTCTTCCATACATTTATAATGACATTTGAGGTTTGATTGGAAGGTTTTCATATTGACTTTTAACTAGGGCTTTCTTGGGACAAACAGAATATTCTACTATATTCCCAAACTAGATTACCATCTTATGATTCAAACTTTCCATATATTTAACCCAGATATATATTTTCAGAAAAAGTAATTGGAAAAGTTATGTGATCAGTCAAGTACTGTTTTCCTAAAATGTGGTATTGAAAATCTCCTGGAATTTTTAATAATTCATGTTGTTTTATGTGAAAAGAATGTCATCTTTTTATTATATTATCTGTACATTTGCTGTTCATCTAAAATGTAGATAATATCACCCCAGGCTAAAAAGGATGAGAAAGAATTTAAACTGATTCTTATAACTTTTTCTTTTTTTTAGGGCGTCATCGTTGTATTGGGGAAAATTTTGCCTATGTTCAAATTAAGACAATTTGGTCCACTATGCTTCGTTTATATGAATTTGATCTCATTGATGGATACTTTCCCACTGTGAATTATACAACTATGATTCACACCCCTGAAAACCCAGTTATCCGTTACAAACGAAGATCAAAATGAAAAAGGTTGCAAGGAACGAATATATGTGATTATCACTGTAAGCCACAAAGGCATTCGAAGAGAATGAAGTGTACAAAACAACTCTTGTAGTTTACTGTTTTTTTAAGTGTGTAATTCTAAAAGCCAGTTTATGATTTAGGATTTTGTTAACTGAATGGTTCTATCAAATATAATAGCATTTGAAACATTTTCTAATAGTTATGATACTTATACATGTGCTTTCAGGAAGTTCCTTGGTGAAACAATTGTTGAGGGGGGATCTAGGTAATTGGCAGATTCTAAATAATATAATTTCCAGATAGTAATTTTAAGAGTACTCATCGCTCTTGCCAAATAAGTTCAGGGTATTCAAATCTTGGACTAGTCCTGCAAGGTATAAAGAATAAAAATCCCAGTGAGATACTTGGAAACCACAGTTTATTATTATTTATCTGGGCAATTATTGTGTGTGTGAGGATGGAAGGGTAGGGAATAATCGAACATCTAAAGCCTTGAATAAGAGAATACTAATTGTTTTGGTATGATGATACTCAGAAATGGAGATATTATAGGAAAAAGAAATCCTTTGGAATTTTAACTAAAATCACTGCATATGGGAAATTAAGAGATCCAGGACCATATTTGATAAGAGTTCCTAAAAATAATGTAATTATTAATGCTAAAGACTGCTCATGTATCTTGATCTAATTACTAAATAATTACATATTTATTTACCTGATAAATATGTATCTAGTTCTACAAGGTCACATTTATGTGGAAGTCCAAAGTCAAGTCCTTAGGGGATAATTTTGTTTTGGCTCAGTTGTTCCCTGCTTCCTTTTTTTTTTTTTTTTTTTGAGATGGAGTCTCGCTCTGTTGCCCAGGCTGGAGTGCAGTGGTGCGATCTCAGCTCACTGCATCCTCTGCCTCCCGGGTTCAAGCAATTCTCTGCCTCAGCCTCCCAAGTAGTTGGGATTACAGGCACCTGCCACCATGCCTGGCTAATTTTTTGTATTTTTAGTAGAGACGGGGGTTTCACTATGTTGGCTAGGCTGGTCTTGAACTCCTGACCTCGTGATCCACCCGCCTTGGCCTCCCAAAGTGCTGGGATTACAGGCATGAGCCACCGCACCTGGCCTTCCCTGCTTCCTCTCTAGAATCCAATTAGGGATGTTTGTTACTACTCATATTGATTAAAACAGTTAACAAACTTTTTTCTTTTTAAAATGTGAGATCAGTGAACTCTGGTTTTAAGATAATCTGAAACAAGGTCCTTGGGAGTAATAAAATTGGTCACATTCTGTAAAGCACATTCTGTTTAGGAATCAACTTATCTCAAATTGTAACTCGGGGCCTAACTATATGAGATGGCTGAAAAAATACCACATCGTCTGTTTTCACTAGGTGATGCCAAAATATTTTGCTTTATGTATATTACAGTTCTTTTTAAAACACTGGAAGACTCATGTTAAACTCTAATTGTGAAGGCAGAATCTCTGCTAATTTTTCAGATTAAAATTCTCTTTGAAAAAATACAGTCTGTATTCATGAATTGTAAAATATGTGCTTCAGTGAGCAGAGTTAGGGAATCCAGGAACTTGGGTGGGGAAAAATTACATCTTTATTTGCACTAATAATTTCTAACTGCAATTTAGTATTTATTTCAATTATGAATTTGGGCAGCATTTTATTAGCAGTATCCATGATTTTGTCAATAGAAATCTCAGATATTTTCATATTACAGATGTTACAGATTTCTTGAAGTATCTAGTTACGACCCCGAGATAAGGCTAGTCTAATGTTTAGTGAATAGTTTTAGACTTCTTAACAGATTTCATTTTTAATCACAGACTAATTAATTATTGAGATGCATAAACAAGTGTGATTGCAGAGGCCTACTATCATAAGGAGGCGTGGTGGTCAAACAATGGCACTGAACTCAGCTTGATCAGATCATTTGTCCATCTGTTTTTTTCTCCACTGTCTCTTAGAGCAGAATAGCCTTGAATGGCAAGCCATGCTAGCTGAAAAAGGTTTTTACCCACAACCTGCCCCTTCAACTAACTGCTTTAGAGTACGTTTGCTATTTTTAGAATTCCTCTTATTGGAACCCAGCTTCTAATGTGGAAAATTTAAGTATAGTTGGCTCCTTTTATTTGTGGGTTCTGTATCCTCTGATTCAACCAACTGCAGGTTCAAAATACTAAAAATAAAACCCCACAATAAAAAAATACAGTATTAGCAACTATTTACATAATGTTCACATTGTATTAGGTATCAAATAATCTGGAGATGATTTGAAGTACACAGGAGGATGTATGTAGACTATCTGCAAATAGCACATTGTTTTATAAGAGACTTAAGCATTCGCGGACTGTAATATCCAAGGGGGATCCTGGAACTAATCCCCCACACATGCCGAGGGATGACTGAAATTAGAAATGTTCAAGCATGTACAACTTTCTACCATGCCTGTTTGTGTTGGTATAAATCATGGAACATCAAATAATAAGACAAAATCCTCCAGGTGTAAGCATCAAATACTAGTCCTCTTGCTGTTTTAGTGAGTTGCCATGTTATTGAGGAGGACTCCAGATGAGAAATAACATTGCGATCTGTATTATCTCTGTGAGAGCCTCCCAGTCTGAATTTGGCTTGGACAACAGGGATACTGTTTAATTCGGCTGCAATGTGATTAAGATCTTTTGAGTTAATGATTTCTTCATCTTTTTAGTGGGCCATGGATTTGTGAGAACACATCTTTGGAAACAAGTAACACTAACTGTAATATAGTAAATACTGATTAATCATGAAATACCAATATAGCTTTTAAAAAACACTATGTAGATGTAAAGTTGATACAAAGACACATGGAAAACTTTCAACAGTATTAACTCTAAGATTAGGACAACTTTCTCTGAATCTCTCACTCCTACATATTTGACATAAGTAATGAGATGCTATGTACCAAGAACTATGGCTCAGTTAAAAATGAAGAAGGTTCAAATACAGTGTGGTGAAAATGGTGAAGTCATTTTTATTTCAGTACTTGACAAAATACCCCATAAAATTCAAAACTTCTACCATTATACAAAAATAGGTCTCTACAAGTGATATTATCTGTCTTCATCACCAGTAGAATATATTAGGCAAAACATGTAACTTCAGTAGCCTTATAAGAAAAGTGCAGGACACCTCGAGCTACACATTCAGCAGTATTGTAATGCGTAAAAGTTTAATCTTTTCACCCATTTGATAAATACACAAGGTTTATAATTTAATGTTTTAAATTAGCATTCCACAAATATACAGGTAATTCAATAATTATTGTGCATGAATACATACACAATGCTTATATATACAAATTCCAGTTTGTTTTCATGTGCTGGCAAGGGATTTGTATACAATCATAAGCTGTGTTCATATTGGTCCCATTGAATATTCACAATACAAAAGCACAAAAGAACCATTGATTTACAAAAGGAAATCTATTTAAAATCACTTCAATTAATGATGTTTCAAAGGATTATCTTCTCATGCCAGCATGAAATTGAGTAGTTGAACCTATGAGAGAAAAACAGGAAATTCAACTGATTTCAAATTACATTGCTACCTGTATCAGACCCACCAGAGTTCACACAAAGGAAATTATTATTATTCTCCATTTTTTTAAAGCCCTTTTTTTCCTTAAAATGTCCTCTTCATACTTAAACTGAGTCTCTCCCCACTACCCCCAAGGTGGAGTGTTACTCTGTTGCCCAGGCTGGAATTCAGTGGTGTGATCTTGGCTCACTGCAACCCCCGCCTCCTGGGTTCAAGTGATTCTCCTGCCTCAGCCTCCTGAGTAGCTGGGACTATCCACACATGCCACCATGTCCAGCAAATTTTTGTATTTTTAGTGGAGACGGGGTTTCACCATGTTGGCCAGGCTAGTCTCGAACTGGTTGGTCTTGAACTCCTGACCTAGTGATCCGCCTGCCTCGGCCGCCCAAAGTGCTGGGATTACAGGCATGAGCCACCGCGCCCAGCCCATATACTTAAGCTGACTTTTAAGAGATTTTGAATATATATGTAAAAATCACCATGACTGGCTCTATGGCAAGGTAGGTGAGACTAATATTTAGAGTTTTTTTAAAGTGCTCTCAAAGTTGGATGTTCTATACCTCATACATTTTTGAAAAATCTTTTGGTCTTCAAAATCTGGGTCTTGTGAAATTTGGATGCTCAAAACAAAACAAGCCTAGGCAAACCAACAAACTCAGCTATGATAATAAAAGTTTCCTATTACTACAAGATGCTTGGGTGTAAACAAATGATTTCTTGAAGGAAGAGATAAACTACTCAATGATTCAAAGTCTCTGAATCAGGAGTGAACTGAAGTGAGATAGGGAAAAGAGGTTTTCCTTCCATGAACAGGGAATCCACCTTTATTTTAAAGTATGACTTGTTTTTTGTTTTTGAACAAAGAAAAAATAATCCTTACAAAGTATTTTAAATGGGATAGTTTTTTTCGATGATACATAAAAGCACAATATAGTAGCAGGGATAATGGTTACATTAAGTGCTTAAAGTAAGTGCTTCCTCCTTAACTCCACCCGATTTGCATGCCTTACCACTTTCTTTTTTTTTTTTTTTTCTTTGAGACAGGGTCTCGCTCTGCTGCCCAGGCTGGAGTGCTGCGGCACGGCCTTACCACTTTCTGCCATGCGCTACTTAGGAATACGTTCTCCAGTTAGGCTCTGTAGACTCAGAGTACCTTGCACACTGGTGCTCATTGTGCATTTTGTGTCATCAGTCCGCTGAATGAACATAGTAGGAAATCATTTTTGGGAGGAGTGGGATCTGGGGTGATAAATCATATTTTCACTTAAATTATTTAAAGTCAGTTTCTCTGCTGGTTACAAGAGTTTAAGCTTTGGCTAACTTAATAATTAGCTCATGCACTAAACTGGAAGCTTTGATTATCCTAATGAGTGTGAAAGAATTTCAAAGAAAGGGGAGCTGTGGGTCTCGCACTGTGGTGCTGCCAAGATGTGGTTAAACTCAGAGCACCTGACTGTATAGTTCCAAGTCGTCTTTGCAGTGCCTCTAGCCGAGTGATATAATCTGTTAGGGCTCTGTCAGGATCGTAATTCTGAAGCTGAGAACATGCTAAAGAACCAGGATTGAAATCAGCTGGAGTGCCTGGGTACCTAAAGGATTAAAAATATGTACATGAATCAAGTTATCCAGAAATATGCATATAAGTTACCAACCTGCCTCCACTCCCTTCCCCAAAAAGGTGGGTCACTTGTACACACATAATGTATCTCCTCCAAGCTTCAGCTTTGGAGCTTGGGATGAGAAAGAGACAACTCTCCAATGAATTCAAAGATGCTACTAAGTCAACATAAGAATGTCCAATACAATGCTTGTGGCAGAGGTCTCAATAAATTGGGTATGTATAAATGTATCTTGTCATGAAGACTGTTAAGCTTTTCATAATGATCAGAGTATCAATTTTAGTCAATACTTTTCCCAATATCTAACCATAGCATACACTAAATAACACTTGGTCAGCTTGTTTGCTATACCCTTGGAAATCAGTTACAAATTTAAACACTGGTTTTTACATTTTTACATTAAGCCTTAGGTTATGTATATTTTTTTTCTTTTTTTTTTTTTTTGGAGACCAAATCTTGCTTTGTTGCCCAGGCTAGAGTGCAGTGGCGTGACCTCGGCTCACTGCAACCTCCACCTCCTGAGTTCAAGCGATTCTCCTGCCTCAGCCTCCTGAGTAGCTGGGATTACAGGCACCCACCACCATGCCTGGCTAATTTTTTTGTATTTTTTTTTGAGACAGAGTCTCGCTCCGTTGCCCAGGCCAGAGTGCAGTGGCACAATCTCAGCTCACTGCCAGCTCCGCCTCCCGGGTTCACACCATTCTCCTGCCTCAGCCTCCCAAGTAGCTGGGACCACAGGCGCCTGCCACCACGCCTGGCTAATTTTTTGTATTTTTAGTAGAGACAGGGTTTCACCATGTTGGCCAGGCTAGTCTCCAACTAGCTGGTCTTGAACTCCTGACCTCATGATCTGCCCGCCTCAGCCTCCCAAAGTGCTGGGATTATAGGTGTGAGCCACCGCACTTGGTCATATTATGTAAATTATATATAACAAAGATGTCTATCTCAATGCAAAGAAGTCAAAGCCCTAAAAATGTCCATTTATCTCTGTTAAATATTAATACATTTAACAATTCCAGGCAGGTTTTCTCATATTCTTACCTATTCTGAAATGGTAAAGGGGACCTAATATAGTCCAGATCTGATCTTGAGCGATACGTAGTATGTCTTGGTTCTCCATATAACTCCAGCCCACCAGAAGAATGATAAAATGAGTCAGTCTTTTCTGCACCTAAAGTAACCCAAAATATTCCTTGTAAAGAAAAATAAAATCCCAAGACCTTAAAAAATTTCTACAAAATAGGTAACTGCTCAAAAGACTATTATACTATATTATACAATCTCCTATTTATAGTCATTTTCTATTATTCTTGATAAAGGAGAAAACAGTACAAACAAAAATTCGGCTTTCAAATGTTATTTTGTTTACTTTTGAATATGAGTATTTCTGATATCTGGAATTATGTCTCAAAGAAAATTATTTAATTGGCATATTTTCTTCTTTAAAGACCTTAGCTCTAAGTAGATGAGAGGTGAGGGGTGTCTGAGTGGGTGTGGCTTGTGGGAAATGATGTGGATAAAAAATATTAGACCAATGTAACCATTCCAATCTACTGACTTGAAACCAAGATTTGCTAACTTTTAATAAAACACAACTTATTATGGTACAAATTTCAGCTGTTTCAGTGTAATGATATTTCAAAATACTTTGTGTAGGGTACCAAATCTATTTCCCCTCTGTAGGATGCTCAGCTCCTGGTAGAGTATGTAAAGGTGGTTTACTATGAATACACAGCACAGGGATGCTGTGTCCTCTGTGTGCTCCCCAGATTCGGACCTCATCTTTATTGCCAGAAATGTTCAAGCCCTAGTTTGTTTCCACTTCTAGGTGTAGACAGAAGGAATTTTAGCTGTTACCATTATTATACAACCTGTTGGTAAACTCAGAAACTTGTTTGAATATTGTTAAATTATGAAAACTTCCTAATTCTTCCATATGACTAACAGCAATCCTGTCTTGAACCGTGCCTTAAATGCAGTTATGAAGAGTGTGGGCTCTGGACCCAGACTGCCAGTGTTTGGTCCTGGTTCCATCACTTCCCTACTGGCCATTCTGGGGCAAATGACTTGTGTTTTCCATGCCTCGATTTTTCATCTAAAAGTGAGAGTAGTAAAACTGTACTTATATCATAGGATTGGGAGAATACATGAAAAGAGCATGGCCAGGTGCAGACTAAGTTCTCCATGAAAATCAGTTATTATTACCCTCTTTAAAACAGTGAAGTTACCTAGTTTTGGCAGTTATAAGGGCTTTGTCTTTGGAAAACATTGCTTCCAGAATTCATTACTTGGTAAGTATTACACATGCAGTAATTCAGAGCAGCAGTCCCCAACCTTTTTGGCACCAGGGACACATTTCATGGAAGACAATTTTTCCATGGACCCAAAGGGGCCAGAATGGTTTCTGGATGAAACTGTTCCACCCCAGATAATCAGGCATTAGTTAGATTCTCATAAGGAGCACACAACCTAGATTCCTCACATGTGCAGTTCACAATAGGATTTGTGCTCCTATGAGAATCTAATGCCACGGCTGATCTGACAGGAGGTGGAGCTCGGGCAGTAATGCCCGCTGCTCACCTGCTGCTGTGCGGCCTGGTTCCTAACAGGCCACAGACAAGTATGGTCCATAGTCTGGGGGTGGGGGACCTCTGATTTAGAGAGTCATAAACATAAGAAAATATGCTATTTTGACTTCACCTTGATTCAGTCCAAAGCCATCTCTGTTAATATTGATGGAAACAGAACCTGTGACTCGATGCCACCGTCGAACCAAAAATTTCATTCTAAAAAAGATTCCAAGATAAAATTTCACAGCCCATCTATAAACAGTATATACATTTCCTACAAAAATCACATCACACGTTTAAATATGAACATAGAACAAATGTCAAATTTCACAATTGCCCAGTTAAACTATGTCAATGCCTGTTGTGACAAAATCAACTGGAACGGAAGAATAGGGACTCAAAATCCCCTCATCCCCTTCCCAAGAGGCATTAGAGGTCTCTTATATTGCCAGCATCAGGTTCCAGCTTGAGGGATAAATGGGGTATAAGGAGATGGAAGGCAAAAGTAGATGGGAAAAGCAGATAGGCAAAGAAAGGGTGAGAAGTAATGAAAAGAGAAAAGAACAGAGAATAAAGGGCAGATGAGATAAGAAGAGAACAAAAAGACCCTTAAATTGGCAATAAGAATGTGCTGGGAATGCTGCAAGGTGGGTGAAGCTCTTGTCCCTTTGATCAGGGACAAAAAAACGTTGGTTTCAAAAGGAATGGGAGTGTTAGCTTCATGACCCAGGTGCAGCAAGTTACGACCTTCTTCCCCATCTTGGCCCAAGGAGCTTTTGGAGCACCAGTTTTGATTTACTTTGAATCAGTTCCAAGGCTCCATCTTAGGAGGGTCAAAATATGATAAACATAATCTTGGATAAGAAAAAGTGGGGCAGAGTGAAGTATGTCAATAACAACTTCTACACCGCTCTCATGAAGCCTCTCTAGATCCCTCTAATCAAAATTACTAGCTAACTCCTGTGACCTCCCATTTACTTATTATATTCTAAGTTCTGTGCATATTAGTCTTCCCCACTAGAAAGTGAGCTGCCTTTAGGTATTTAGGCAGGATTATATATTTTTTCATCAATGCATCTACCAGCACTTACCCTGGTTTACTCTATACAAGGTGATGAAGGAAATGAAAGGTGAGGAAGAGTAAATGAAACCAGGAGACTACAATATGGAATATCAGAAGCAAGGAGGGTCTAAGGCCCACAGTTAAGATAAAACTTGTGCTCCTGTTTCCAGAGCCAGCATGAATGAGACTTGGGAGACTGGGCTGGTTGTCCTAGCTCTATCACTACTGGCTTTGTAACCGCTCCCTGCCTCAGTTTCCTCAAGTGTGAAATGAGATTCTGGACTAGGTGATCTCAGACAGCTTCCAATTAAAAAACTGTGCCATATTTTTAGAGAAAAATAGGCCGGTGCAGTGGCTCACGCCTGTAATCCCAGCACTTTCGGAGGCCGAGGCGGGCGGATCATGAGGTCAGGAGATCGAGACCATCCTGGTTAACACAGTGAAACCCAGTCTCTACTAAAAATACAAAAAAATTAGCCGGGTGTGGTGGTGGGCGCCTGTAGTCCCAGCTACTCAGGAGGCTGAGGCAGGAGAATGGCATGAACCCGGGAGGCGGAGCTTGCAGTGAGCTGAGATAGCACCACTGCACTCCAGCCTGGGCGACAGAGCAAGACTCTGTCTCAAAAAAAAAAAAAAAAAATAAATAAATAAATAAAGCAGCATCAGATGTGACCTGATAGAAATAACTTTAAAAAGCAAAATTCCTTTAAGATTCTGTCTGCCTCCTAAAAGGGAGGGGGATGCATGGAGAAGCCTTGGTGTTTGTATGCGTATAACCAGGTCAGAAGACTGTAGTGGGCCAGGTCCTCAAAGTAGTTTGAGTCTTGGCTCCATGTCAATCACAGACAGAATGAATACCAGAGTTCTTTGCTTGGAATTACTAGAGAAAGAACAATAAAAGCACTAGCAAAAAGCAAAAATCCAATGCCTTAAAGGCTAACCTCTGATTTGAATGCAGTTAGGAAAGGACCTTCCATAACTGGGCACCAAAAGTGGGTTATCTTAGCAATGAAGAAAATGAATGTACGCCAGCCTAAGAAGTAATTTGTCAACCACATTTTTAAATTTTATAATCTTTTATTTATTTACATGTGTGAGCTTGTTCATGGGCTTATTCAGATTTTTTTTTTTTTTTTGAGACAGAGTCTTGCTCTGTCACCGAGGCTGGAGTGCAGTGGCGCGATCTCAGCTCACTGCAAGCTCCACCTCCCAGGTTCATGCCATTGTCCTGCCTCAGCCTCCCAAGTAGCTGGGACTACAGGCACCCGCCACCACGCCTGGCTAATTTTTTTGTACACTTTTAGCAGAGATGGGGTTTCAGCATAGCCAGGATGGTCTCAATCTCCTGACCTCACGATCTGCCGGCCTCAGCCTCCCAAAGTGCTGGGATTACAGGTGTGAGCCACCATGCCCGGCCTTTTTTTTTTTTTTTTTTTTTTTTTTGACAGAGTCTCACTCTGTCACATGGCTGGAGTGTAGTGGCGCCGATCTCGGCTCACCGCAACCTCCGCCGCCCAGGTTCAAGTGATTCTCCTGCCTCAGACTCCCAAGTAGCTGGGACTACAGGTGCCTGCCACTACGCCCAGCTAATTTTTTGTTTTTTTAGTAGAGATAGGGTTTCACCATGTTGGCCAGGCTGGTCTCGATCTCCTGACCTTGTGATTCGCCTGCCTTGGCCTCCCAAAGTGCTGGGATTACAGGCATGAGGCACCACGCCTGGCCCAGATTGTTTTCTAAAAGGCAGCCGTGATTGGATAGGCCAGCTCTGAGTCACCAGCTGCCTGGACCTAGGAAGGCCCTTTTCATAGTTTACACATACCCTGCCAGTATTCCTGCTAAATGAATGAAAACCTAGAAAAAAAAAGCAGACATGCTTCAGTGATGGCACATACCTCCTACTATATAAATATAGAGTATAACCAGCAGAGAATAGAGGGAGAATTAAAAATAACTAATCCTTTTAGAGAGTCTACTAGTAAAATGCATTTTCCTTCAAGTCTTTACCTGGAAATTGCAATGGATACTCTGACGGCCGACCGAAACCTGGTGAAGCCCTTTGGGCGATTGGTGATCACCTCTAGATCCGTGAAAGCTGGCTGCCCCCCCATCCGGGCAAGCAGGGCCAAGGTGGCATCTTCACATTCCTGGAACCCACCCAGTAACAGCAGCAGGTATTTCTTCTGGTAAATGAGAGCCTTTCGAAAACTTTCTGCCCTCAAGTATTTACCATAAATTCTCTATATTTAGGGAAGAGAAGAATGTAAAGACATTAAGAAAACATTCACCCTGCTCTCTAGGGGAAAATAACCTAGATTTTAACAAGTAGTGGTGGTGGTGGTGGTAGTAGTAGTAGTAGTAGTAGTAGTAGTAGTAGTAGTAGTAATAGTAAAACGGCAGGTTCCTATCACTGTTTTCTACTTTATCAGCAAAGTTGAAATTTCAGATAAATTAACCTTTACACTTTTGCCTCTATTAGTCAATGGAGTCTGAATACTAATATTATAGTTAGGCTTCTTGTTTCTTTTAGGTTTTAGCCCTCATTAATCATATTAATTGCAAATATTTTTGTCATCCCAATTTTTTTTTTAATTGTACAGAGCTATTTTTATTAGGGTCACTAATCTATCTATTTATTTATTTATTTATTTATTTATTTATTTTTTTTTTAAATTTATGAGACGGAGTCTCACTCTGTCACCCATACTGGAGTTTAGTGGCGTGATCTCGGCTCACTGCAACCTCCGTCTCCCAGATTCAAGCAATTCTCCTGCCTCAGCCTTCCAAGTGGCTGGGATTACAGGCGCCCACCACCATGCCTGGCTAATTTTTGTATTTCTAGTAGAGATGGGATTTCACCATGTTGGCCAGGCTGATCTCGAACTCCTGACCTCAGTGATCCACCCACCTTGGCCTCCCGAAGTGCTGGGATTACAGGTGTGAGCCACCAGTGCCTGGCCTAATCTAACTTTTTAAATGTTAATGTTTTCTATCCCTTCAGAGTCATAAACTGGAATAAATGTTCCAAAAGTTTTTCTTTTTGTTTTGAATTTTATGTTGACTGATTAAGGTAGTTTTAACAACATTCATTATTAGTCACCGGAGAGGCTTTTCAGAGGGCTTACCATTTTACAGAGTATGATGTTCTTACATTGACAATAGTAGAGCTTTTGTTAGGAGTTGAAAAGATACCATTCTTTTGGTCTATTAGGGATGAAACCAGGGAAAGTGGAACCATGAGCCCAGGCTGCCACTGTGACCATTAATAAAGGTTAATCTGGTCCCAGTCCTGGGCATGCCTTTCCAGAAACCTCTGTGACCTGCATTCATGACAAAGACTGAATAAAAAGACCTAGAGACAAAACCTGAATACTATCTACATTTTTTTTTTTTTTTTGAGACGGAGTCTCACTCTGTGGCCCAGGCTGGAGTGCAGTGGCGCGATCTCGGCTCACTGCAACCTCCGCTTCCTGGGTTCAAGCGATTCTCCTGCCTGGGACAGTAGCTGGGACTACAGGCACCCGCCACCACGCCCAGCTAATTTTTTGTTTTTGTATTTTTAGTAGAGACGGGGTTTCACCGTGTTAGCCAGGATGGTCTTGATCTCCTGACCTCGTGATCTGCCCATCTCGGCCTCCCAAAGTGCTGGGACTATAGGCGTGAACCACTGTGCCAGGCCCTAAATTTCTTTAGACTGTTTATTTAAGGTCAGTGAGAGATGAAAGAAGGCAAAAACATAGAACCAGCTGTGATGTTTAGATGGGAGATGTCTCCTACCTTTAAAGTGACATGTTCAGAATCAGGGCTCAGAGTTTGAAGTAAAGAGTCATTTCTTAGTTCAGCTTTCAGTTTGTATACTTCAGCCTCTGCCCTTTTCAAAGATTTCTGGAGAGTCAATTTTTCTCTGTTCCATACTTCTTTTTCAGAGGCAATGATGGCTTCAATGTTGGCACCACCATTCAATGAAAACCTGGAAGACTGCAAAGACCACAGCCTACTTACACAAGTCTCTGAAGAAAAGTCTGAGCTAAACATATTAAAAAGATATCTGCATGATGATGCAGTCTCAACTTTCTAACCCCACCCAGACAAAGTTCAAAGCCAATCTCAATTGACATTACGCATATACACTAACTCTTAAGTACATGGTCCTTTGCTAAGTACATTAGTTTTACAACTAAAAGTCCTTGAGAAAGCCTGGCCACAGGGAAGGTTTAGCAGATTAGCAGAGCTTTGAACTGAAAAAGTCAAGAGACCTAACAGACCATTTGGGTTCAAATTTTGAGCCTGTGCCTGAAATAGTGTACTGGAGAAGTGGGAAAAAAACAAGCCAGTATGTACATAATAAGTGGATTTCTATAAAAGGCACGTAAATGTGTTATCATGTATTTAACCACACAGTTGTCTTACAGGTCTTTTCTATCTTTATACTGGGTGATTATGGAAACTAGCAATTAATTTTATACCTGTTTTTAAATGGAAAAATTTTAAGTAAATTCTCAGAGTAATTTCAGACTGAAAGACGTAATTTAACAGAACCTTTTAATTGAGTCATCAACACAATAACTAATAATTAAATGAAGAGAACAGTCAGGATTCACATTTGAACATCTCGTGTATCTGTTGTTGGTCCCTAGGTAGCAAAGTATCTGGCTTTGGAGATACAAGTATCTTGGTTTGACTACGACTTCAATTCAGTTTTCTCAGGTATAAGGTGGATGTGGATTAGAGATTCTGTATGTATACAACCCAGAGTCGAGTACAGAGATGGTTTCCAATAAATAACAGTAATTATTATAACTTAGTAATAATATTATTATTGTCATCCCTATAAAATTTTCTACAGATCCTAAGAATCAGGTGTGTGATAGTTTTACATTAACAGGATTAAAACTTGAACTAGACAGCAGAAATGATAAGCATGCACTAATTCTCATATATGGAGATGCTAAAAATGGACATACATTATCTCTACCAGCTCCTGTCTGTCGATACCACCTGATCTGCTCTTCCAGCTTCATAACCATGTTCCTTAAGTCATTCTTCTCTTCAGTCAGTTGACTGATATGCCCTGTCAGCTCAGCATTTTGTCTCAGTAGTCTTTCAGTCAATGAGCCACAAGAAGTACTTGGGGACACCAAGCTGGGCTGGAAAAATAAAATGGTGTAAGGTCACTTAAGCACAAATGGATGTGAATAATGCATATAAAGTGTGAATAGGCACCGAGAACAACAGAATTCATGAATTGGTGCTTGAGTTGAGTATTCAGTAATAGGTAGATATTTACCAGGCAGAAAAGATAAGGAAGGGCATATTAAGCAAAAGGCACGAAGGCTTGAGCGAGTGTGTATTGTTTTCGGGGTGTTGTAGGTTGCCTGGTAAGTCTAGATTGCTTCACTTTATGAATAACAGACCTAAATGTAGGCAATGGAGAGTCACGAAAGGCTTGATGCAAAAATATGACACAAAATTTATGTGTTGGGAAAATTCCTTTGGTAGTAATGTACAAAGCAGGGGAAATTAGGGAAGATATAATCTTCGAGTCAGGTAGACCTATCAGGAAGTTGTTTCAACAGCCAGGTAAGAAATGCTGAAAGCCTGAATGGAGGCAACGACTAAGGGACAGAAAGTAAAGGGTGTGTGGGAGAGGTATTTAGAAGGTAAGAGGGACAGGATTTAGTGACTGTCTAGATGTGCAGATAAGGGTGAAGGAAAGTGGTCTATGGTGACTTTCAGCTTTCTAAACTGGGCAATATCATGACTAGAAATGAGGGTCTGGAGCAGGAAGTAGAAAGGGAAGATGGTGTTCAGTTTGGAATGTGCCTGTGAGGTTCCTAAGGGGTCACTATGGGGTACATTTCCCCAGGGAAAAATGTTTAGTAACTAATTGAAAATATAAACCTGGAACACAGGACAGAAGTCTAGACTAGAACCACAGTCCACTAAAGATAAGCTCCATAAGGGTGAGGTTTTAGTCAGATTTGTTCACTGTATCTCCAGAACCTATCTGGCACAGAATAAGTGTTCAATATAAGTATTTGTTTAATAAATAAGTCTAGTGAGAGCTCAGGGTGTCGGACTGTGTGAGCTTTCATAGTTATAGGTTAGAGAAAAGAAGGAAGAGGGTAGGAAGAGGAATCATAAAGGCAACTGATGAAAGAAGCAGAAGAAATGCTAGAATACTGACATGACAGGCAAGGAAAGAGAGGGTTTTAAGAAAATAAAACAGGTCAAAAGTATCAAATGCTACAAAGAAGTCAAGAGATAAACTGAAAAGATTCACCAGACTAGTCAATTGTTTAGACACTGTAGGAGTCTAAGGGTGTTTCATGGAGTAGACAGGATAGAAGCCAGATCACTCTTTCAGGAAGCTTGTCTCCATACAGTAAAAGGTCAACATAATTATTCAATGACAATAATGAAAGCTAATTCCCCCCCTAAGCTTTCATTATCTTCTCTTGGGGGAAAGCAAGCATTATTATTCATATTTAAAATAAATAAAAAGATACAAATAAAACTCTATAAAGAGTATAAAGAATATGCTGCAAGTTTCAAATTATCCAGTTTCTATTAAATCTTTGCTCTCAATGCTTCAGAAATAACTTTTAAAAAGTATTACCTCTTCACCTTGCTGGCCAGTTAATTTCTGTAGTTGTAAAATAATTTCATCAATATTTTCCTGAACCCAAATGAAATCTTCATCATCTGCTGTTTCAAACTGTAGTCTTCAAGAAAAAGACAAAAAGTCAAAACATACCTTCTCAATTGGGGGTGTTTACTACCACAAACATTACAGAGCAGGCGACGTTCTACTTCACCTATCACTTCTCCCTTATATCCCATGCTTTCTTCCCTGGGTCAAAGTGTTAGATAGTTGTTTTCAGACATTTGAGTTCTGTTAAAGAATATCACCTCCTAATGTAAACACGCATTACCTTTAAAATTTCAATTCCCCACCCTTGGCTAGCTGTCCCAGAGGCATGGGGTCTACCCAGCCTAAGAATACTACTTTCCCAAAGATCAGGCAGAAAAGTCTAACCTCTCAGAGGCTTTCTGGGGTAGAACCTGTAGTTTTGAAGCTACACATTGAAGCTTTTGTCTGATCATTTCTAATTCATGATTACAGCCGGTTCCTCCTCCATTCATTTCAATCAATTTAGCGTAGTTTGATTCTTTTGTTTCTCCTTCTATTTTCTGTTGAAGAACCCAATTTCTAGTTCTATCACTGGTTAAGCTCCACGTGGTTGGCTGGCAATTTTGGACAGAATAAGAAAACAATAATTATAAGTGAACAGCATATCACAGTCTATCTTAAGGGAACACAATTATTGTTTATATCCAATAAACTTCTATAGATTTCATTTTTAAGTGATTTACATATAGCTATTTAAGTAATTTAATCCAATATCAAAATTTAATGATCAAAGGGCTGCAGTGCTTTCCTTAAAAATATCTAAAAAGAAACTGTCAGTTTACCTCATTAAGGTTCTGATACAGAATTCTTCTACTTTCTCGTTTTTCTTCTCGTTCTAGTTCTTGCTTCTGGAATTCCTGCATGATTCCTTGTAGTCGCTGTCCTTCAAGGTCTAACTTATAAACTTGTTGTCTTTTCTCTTCCAGCTGGCGCTGAAGATCTTCCACTTTGGACTGGAGCTCATGCATTTTTTTCTGTCCCTCAGTGTTGGCCTCCTGTTCTGTCTGCAGTGTTTTCCTGTGAACCTGCCTATCTTTTTCCATTTGCTGTCGTGTTTGCAAAGAATCCAGTTTATATTTTTCAGTCTCATTTAACAATTCTACTATGCGACTGTGTTTTTCCTCTAGCTGTTTCTGCAGCTCTTTCAGTAGGTCCTCTGAGGGCAAGGGTGGCCGAGACTGTCCAGTACCATCACTGCTCTGCAGCTGTGCGTGCAATTCCCGCTCCCTATCTAGGGTACTACTCATTTCCCGAATTCGAACTTTCTCAGATTCAAGAAGTACCTGAAGCTCTAAGTTTCGACCTTGTTCTTCTGACAACTGGGCATCATATAGCATTCTCTGTGATTCTATTTTTTGCTGGGATTCGTTCAGTAGTTGTTTCTGTTGTTCCAAAAGTAGATTTAGCTGAAGATTCCTTTGTTTCTGACTCTCAAGTGAAAACTTCAGATCCTGGTACGAGAAAATCAAATTTAAGAACTTGTTAATATTATTAAAAATACTTGGCCGGGCGTGGTGGCTCACGCCTGTAATCCCAGCACTTTGGGAGGCCGAGGCGGGCAGATCACCTGAGGTCAAGAGTTCAAGCCCAGCCTGGCCAACATGGTGAAACCCTGTCTCTACTAAAAATACAAAAAAATTAGCTGGGTGCAATGGCACGTGCCTGTAGTCCCAGCTACTTGGGAGGCTGAGGCAGGCGAATTGCTTGAACCCGGGAGGTGGAGGTTGCAGTGAGCCTAGATTGCACCACTGCCCTCCAGCGTGAGCAACAGAGTGAGACTTTTGACTCAAAAAAAAAAAAAAAAACAAAAAAAACTTCAGAAGTATACAACCATGCCTTTATTAATACTATGTTGGTAGTATCTTTATTAGAAAATAGAACTGATTATTTAGTTTATTAACTTAAATGTTCAGTAGTTAGTGCATAATCATGAAATATAAATAAAAGAAGGGTAAGATAATACTTTTCTCAAAAAATCTTAATCTCACTAAGTAATATGAAGCAGGGTACATTTCTTATAAGAATAACAACCTTTAAAAATATAACTGTTCCTGGAGATCTTACGTTTTGATAAGATTCCTGTGCACATTAATAAATTTGTTTAAAAAATAAATGTTCCTGATATAATGTGATAGGAGTTCCTGAAAAACCTTGTGTTTTGCAGTATCACATGCTAAAAATAATAGGGCTTATAACGAAAGCAAGGTTAGGGGCAAATAACTCAAAATATACATAAACTTTTAATGGTTAAAAAACTATAATTGGTACCTAGGGAGATATCATGTCCCTGCCGGGCAGAGAGTTCTCTTTGCCTGGAGGCTAACACAGTGGACATTAAAAATAAAAAATCGGGCAAAAATGCCAGCAACACATTGTTTTTCAGCACAGAGTTAGTGAGAATTAGGATTACGTGGCTAGAAGAGCTCTGAGCCAGTGAGACAACAACACCTCTATTAAAAGCAGATACTTCATGTATACTCCACCTCTATTAAAAGCAGATACTCAAAGCAGCCTGCCTTGAGCTGAGAGCCTTGCAAAGCAGGGGTGTGTCTCTCTGAAAGGGGCCAATGTTCACTTTAAATGTTCTTAAGCAGTGAGGGCTCCAGAAAAGTATCCCTGTTCCTCTTCCCTAGGAGAAAACAGGAACCAAAACTACCTCTGTATTAAACTGACAGGATTGCCATATTTATCTGTGTGTACCAATTCACATGCCCAAAACATGTTGCAGCAGAGCAGTCTATATGCATCTTTGGATGTAGCAAAACAAACAAACAAACAAAAAAAACCAATCACCACTCCATTAGCATTTCCTCATAATACGGTTTATGTAGTATTCAATGCACAGTGAACAACTTACCATATCTTATTAAGAAGTCTAAGGTTGACATTTTAGATGGAGGAAAGCCTTAAGACCCTCTTCTATCATTCTGGATTTTCCAGACATTTAAAGACAAAGATAACAGTACCTCAAGTTCTTCTTTATCCCGTTCTTCACTGCGTCCCAACTTGGCTTTCTCTTTCTCCAAAGCCCACTGGAGCTCTCTTGATTTTTTCTGTTCACTTGCTAATGTGTCATTAAGCAAATGTACTTCATCTGTCTTATCTTTAACTTCCAACCTAAGTCAGAAAGACAAATGAATTTCCATAAAGCTATGTTGACGAAGCATATAATGAGAGAGAGAAAAACAGCTTCTACTGATAAGTTGAGGCATATAATAAACTAGCTAAGAGGAAAATATAAACTATTAAAGATTCTTGACTGGGGTTCATTTCAAATTAACTCTTTCTTTTTTTTGTTGTTTTGTTTCGAGACGGAGTCTCGCTCTGTCGCCAGGCTGGAGTGCAGTAGCGCCATCTCGGCTCACTGCAACCTCCACCTCCCGGGTTAAAGCAATTCTCCTGCCTCAGCCTCCCGGGTAGCTGGGACTACAGGTGCCCGCAACCACGCCCAGCTAATTTTTGTATTTTCAGTAGAGATGGAGTTTCACCATTTTGGCCAGGATGGTTTCAATCTCCTGACCTCATGATCCGCCTGTCTTGGCCTCCCAAAGTGCTCGGATTACAGGCATGAGCCACCGCGCCCGGCCCTCTTTTTTCTTTTTTTTTGAGACGGAGTTTCCCTCTTGTCACCCAGGATGGAGTGCAATAGCGCGATCCTGGCTCACTGTAACCTCCGCCTCCCGGGTTCAAGTGATTCTCCTGCCTCACCCTCCCATGTAGCTGGGATTACAGGTGAATGCCAGCATGCCCGGCTAATTTTTTGTATTTTTAGTAGAGATGGGGTTTCACCATGTTGGCCAGGCTGGTCTTGAACTCCTGACCTCAGGTGATCCACCTGCCTTGGCCTCCCAAAGTGCTGGGATTACAGGCATTAGTCACCACACCTGGCTTCAAATTAACTGTTTCTAGTAGTACAATTACTAGTTATTAATTATCAATGCAAACAACTATGCAATTTATTGTTACAAAATAGTATTAATAAAAATTTTGGCTGGGCATGGTGGCTCACACCTGTAATCCCGGCACTTTGGGAGGCCGTGGTGGGTGGGTCACCTGAGGTCAGGAGTGCGAGACCAGCATGGTCAACATGGTGAAACTCTGTCTCTATTGAAAATACAAAAATTAGCCAGGCATGGTGGCGGGTGCCTATAATCCCAGCTACTCAGAAGGCTGAGGCAGGAGAATCACTTGAACCCGGGTGGTGGAGGTTGCAGTGAGCCAATATCATGCCATTGCACTCCAGTCTGGGCGACAGAGCGAGATTCCATCTCAAAACAATTAAATAAAAATAAAATAAAATAAATAAATAAATAAAAAGTAAATAAAATTTTTGTCTTTTACTGAACATGGGAATCACCATATCTATTTGTGTGTGAAGCTAATGTTCAATATAAAAATGACTAGTTGTAATGTGTCTTTGGCAACAGAATATCTCAGTATTTATACCAAGAAATATATTCTTTTAACAAGCATTGTCTCTTCAAATATTTTGCATATTTTAGCTCACTCAATCATGAATTCTACTGCGTTCATAAATATCACTTCAAATTGGTTGATGGTAAAATAAAGGTCAAAGTCAAAATTCTATTTCATACAAGTCTCACACAGAACTGAAGTCACAGTAGAGAATATGCTATAATCACGATCATAAGTTCATCATTTGGAAACATTTAGAGTTTTTTCTATTATAGTTTTTCCTAAAAAAAACAGTTGCATGCTATTTAAATATCATGCATGTTACATTTCTCTATATTTGCACAGTGTTTATGACAAAATTACTCCCACTCCTTGTTACATGTTTTTAATAAGGAAGCCTGGCACACCTGAAAGCCTCCAATTCTTTTAGGTGTTTATGCTGTGCCTTGAGTGTTGTTTCTAGTTCCAATTTAGTTTGTGCAAGCTCACTCTTCAGTTCAGCAACCACCATTTTCTCAGAACTCAGCTGCTCCTGCAGTTCCGTTGCTCTGTCTTTCATACTGCTGAGCTCCACTTGCATCTCCAGCATTTGAGACTGCTTCTGCTGTATATTATATTCCAAGAGTTCTACACAGAACATGATTAATATTTGAAACATAATCAAGCAACTCATATTTGGTTTATAAATATTTGTTGATAAGAACTGATTTGTAGTTAAGGAGATTACTTCAAAGGAAACATGAAAAATTATAGTCCCAAGAGTTGGTAATGCAGTCCAGGCATGGTGGCTCACACCTGTAATCCCAGCACTTTGGGAGGCTGAGGTGGGAGGGAGGACTGCTTAAGGCCAGGAGTTCAAGACCAGCCTGGGCAACATGGTGAAACTCTGTCTCTACTAAAAATACAAAAATTAGCTGGGCGTGCTGGCATGTGCCTGTAGTCCCATCGACTCAGGAGGCTGAGGTGGGGGGATTGCTTGAGCCCGGGAGGTGGAGGTTGCAATGAGTTGAGACCATGCCACTGTACTCCAGCCTCAGTGACAGTGAGACCCTGTCTCAAAAAAACAAACAAAAAGGGTTGGTAACGTATAAAAATAAATTTCAGGCATGTTTTCCTCATAGTGCTAGTGGCCAAGATTTCAGAGCTATAAATATATAAGGATAAAAGTTTAAGAGAATACATTAATGGATGCAAGACTTAAAATTAAAAAAAAAAACTTTAAATGGAACTCATATTTGTACATTCAGAATTTCAAGAATGTACATTAAAAAATTCCAAAGATTTCTGATAGTCACACAAAGTATTTGGAGGAGTTACCCAAGTTACTACAATGATGAGCACTGCTGATATCTTTTGTTCAGCACCCCACTGCAGATAGTCCCCTGGAACTTTAATAGGAGTCTGTTCCCAGAAGTGGGAAATTCAAACCCCCCTTTGGATACCGTCCTTTTATCCATTGAAAGCCAACCAAACCCTTACTACATGTTTGCTACAATAAAAACAAACTGAAAATTTTAAATGCCTCAGTATGTTAAATGAAAAAAAGTATGTTATAAAATATGTATCAGGATTCCTTTTTTATGAAAAATACAAGCTTATGTACACATGCACATTGAAAAGGTCTGGAGACATATTTACCCAGGTGTTAGGTAGTCATTATTTTAGGATTTAGGTGATTCAAGGGATGATTTTCACTCTATTCTTTTCTGTATTCTACCATAAATATGTAATACTATACTACTCTAATAAGAAAAACATTTTTAACTTAAAAAATACTATCAAAGTTCAACAATTCACATTACAATTCATATTACTGACGTTAGGAGACAGAAATAACATTAGCTTTAGATGATAATCAATCATGTTTAATTTAGGCTTCTAAAAACTTTAGAGGTTAAGGATTTACATAAATGTGAATCTGTGACATTAAGCTTTCAATGGTGTTCTATTTAACCTAAGTAAAACAATATTAATCTATCTCTAAAAGACATCTTCAATTACGCCTACGTTTAAAGTGATATGTTTATCTCATTATGACTCTCTTTTCTGAAGTAATTTTAACCTGCTTTTTTTTTTCCTTCTTAAACTCAGTGGTAAGAATGCTTCTGCTTTGTTTTTTTTTTTTGTTTTTTTTTTTTGAGACAGAGTCTTGCCCTGTCGTCCAAGCTGGAGTACAATGGCACGATCCCAACTCATTGCAACCTCTGCCTCCTAAGTTCAGACGATTCTCCTGCCTCAGCCTCCCGAGTAGCTGGGATTACAGGCACCGAGCATCACGCCAAGCTAATTTTTGTATTTTTAGTAGAGATGGGGTTTCACCATGTTGGCCAGGCTGGTCTCGTACTCCTGACCTCGTGATCCTCCCACCTCGGCCTCCCAAAGTGCTGGGATTACAGGCGTGAACCACAGGGCCCAGCCTGCTTCAGCTTTATAATGACCAATGTGAGACCATGCTGTGACTTTCAAAATTTTCCAAAGGATACATGTTTCTACCAGTACATGACACAAAATTACTGAACACACAGGTATGTGTCCTCAGTGGACATGATGAAAATTAGATTTCACTTTACTTTCTAATGATTTCCATCTGTAGCTCAATTTAAAAGACCAGATACTGTTATCAAAAAGTACCTAAACAAGCATATCACAAAAATAAAAATCCAACTAGCCAATTACCATATGAAAAAGGACTAAACCCTTCAGGAACTAGAGAACAGCCAATTAAAACCACAATAAGAATCCACTGCACACCCATCAGATTGGCAACAGAAGTCTGACTATACTAACTGTTGGCAAAGATGTGAAGCAACGTAACTCTCATATACTGCTACTAAGTGTATAAACTAATATGACTATGTAGGAAAATCATTTGACCTTATCTAAGATAGGCATTCCATGACCCAGCAATTCTGCTCTTAGTCATATACTCAGAAGATGCATGCACATATGTAGCAGAAACACTATACAACAATGTTTATAATAACATTGATAGCTAAACAGCTAAAAAGTAGAAACAACCCAAATGCTCAATCATATTAATAGAATGGATATATTAATTTTGGAGTATCTATACAGGAAATTCTTTTTTTTTTTTTTTTTTTTGAGATGGAGTCTTGCTCTGTCGCTCAGGCTAGAGTGCAGTGGTGTGATTTCAGCTCACTGCAACCTCCACCTTCTGGGTTCAAGTAATTCTCTGCTTCAGTCTCCTGAGTGGCTGGCCTTACAGGCACCCGCCACCACGCCTGGCTAATTTTTGTATTTTTAGTAGAGACTGGGTTTCACCATTTTGGCTAGGCTCATCTTGAACTTCTGACCTCGTGATCCACCCACGTCAGCCTCCCAAAGTGCTGGGATTACAGGTGTAAGCCACCGTGCCTGGCCCTACACAGGGTCATAGAGTTATAGAGTAACAAGAATGAATGAACTAGAGATAAATGCAGTAACTTGGAAGAATGTTCTACTACTAATTTGGAAGAATGCAGTAACTTGAAAAATGCAGTAACTTGGAAGAATGTTGGAAGAATGTTACAGAGAGGTGAAAGAAACAAGATAAAAAATACATACAGATTGATAAAGTTCAAAAACAGAAAAAAACTTGAAACTTAAATGTTTTAGGAATATATAAATAGATAGTAAAACTAAAGAAAAATCAGAACAATGATTACCTCTAAGTTACTCAGAGGAGCATGTGCTTGGGAGAAGGGGCTGTTGGGATACTGGCTATATTCACATGGGTGATGTTTCCATAGATACTCATTTAAAAATGCGTCATACTGCATATTTGCAATTTGTAATTTTCTGTATGTTATGGCTCACAATTTTTTTAAAAAAGGATTAAAAAATAATTAGTTACATGCATTGTGGATTTTCCTCTAAAGAGTATTTTCTGTTTTATGATTGGAAAGACTGTTTTCTTAACATACAGCTCTAAAATAAAGAAAAAGAATGAATCCAATGGGCTTAACCTTATCAGGGGAATGGCAGTTTATTTTAAAGTCAACGTAGCTGTTTAAACCAATTAGACAATCCTCTAACCCCTAGAGTAATTAATATAGATTGTATCCTTAACATTATGAGAATGAGAAGAAAATGTGACCAAGAAAATATGTTTTAACTTAATAATAATAAGAAAGAAAACAAAGTGAAATCTTTTCACCTGTTTGTGTAACCATATGAGCTTGTCATACAACATACCTTGGCTTGGTTTCTCACTCTCTTGTTCTCTTTTCAGAGTAATTTTCCTACCATTCATTTGTGCATGCAGTGCCTGAATTTCAGATAACAAACTCCTTCTATCTGCTTTCTGGAGGCATTCCATAGCTGCTTGATATTCAACACCCTGTAACAAAGGAAGGTAAAAAACAAGTGAAGAGCAATGTAAAGGCAATACAATTAACAACCAAGAAATCTAAAGAAGAATGAATGGAACACACATACTAAAATTTTCTTTTTTAAAAAATTTTCTTATTTTTCCTTTCCAAAATGTATGAGGATATGCTGCAGACAAATGCTCATTTACCTCTAAATACCAGAGTGTATTTCCTTAAAACAAGAACATTCTTTTACATAACTACAATTAGCAAAAGTGGAATTAACATTACTACAATACTATTATGTGATATACAGAGCCTATTCAAATTTTGTGAAATGTACTTCACAGCAAAAAGAAAAAAAGTGATATTCCCAAGTCTTTCTTTGTCTTTCATGACCTTGAATTTTTGAAGACTACAGGCTATTTTGTTGTACGTTCCTCAATTTTAAAAAACTTTTTATTTTGAATTAATTAAAGCTAAAGTTCCCATGTATCTGTTAGCCAGCTTTTCCCAATGATACCATCTTGCATTACCATAGTATATTATCAAAACCAGGAAAATGGTATTAGTACAATACCAAACTATAGGGCTTACTCAGATTTCATTAGTTTTCACATTAGTTTTCTTGGTGTGTAGTCCTACAAAATTTGATCATTAGTTTTCTTGGTGTGTAGTCCTACAAAATTTGATCACATGTATGGATAGGTTCACGTAACCACCACTACCATCAGAGTACCAACTGTTTTCTCACCACGAAGAAACTCCTCTGTAGTCAAACTCTCTCCCTAACCCTAACCCCTGTCAACCACTGATCTGCTTTCTATTACTATAATTTTGTCATTTTAAGAGCATTATATAGCATACAAGTGGTTGTAGGCATAAATAGTTTGTTTCTTTTTAATTGCTGAGTAATATTTCATTGTATGGATGTACCACATTTTGTCCATCCATTCCCCTGTCAAAGAACATTCCAGTTTTTGGCTATTGCCCTCCCATTTCACATTGCTACCAGCAATCTATGAGACAGTTTCTTTTCATCCTCTCCAGTACTTGCTGTCACTATTTTTTATTTTGATAGATGTAGTGTTCTCAATTTGTTTTGGTCTGATATTTCCCCAAGAGTAGACTCTGAATATTCATTTGACAAAAACACTACAAAAGTGGCATCGTGCCCTTCACATTAGGAACTGTATGATGTCTATTCCATTTCTGGTAATAGTAATTCTGATCACTTGGTTAAGGTGGTATCTGCAAGGTTTCTCCACTGTAAAGTTACTGCTTTTCCCTGGTAATTAAAGAAGATTTTCTGGGGATTTACTTTGAGACTATGTAAATATACTTTCTTAACAAACCTTTTCACACTAGTTTTAGCATCTGTTGCGAACTATTGCCTGAATAGTGTTTAATAAAGGGTGATTTAACACTACAGTGTTTAATAAAGGGTGATTTCCTAATTTCATTGTTCCTTCTACATTTACTAGCTGTCATTCCATGGTAATACTATTTATTTATTTATATATATATTTATTTATTTATATCAGTATGGTCTCATGAGTTCTTATTTCACTCTTTGGCTTATAATTTGTCACTATCATTTAATATAATGTTTAAATTTTTCTAGAATTTGGTCAATTGGAGCTCCTTCAAGCTGGCTTCTATGACCTTTCGACATGTTCCCTTCATTCTTTGAACAATTCCTTACTTGCCAGCAAAACAAGATGTTCCAGGCTCACCTTATACTTTCCCTGGTCCATCCCTAGAATCATCAGTTCTACAAGAAGTCCTAGTTCTTTTCAGTGGAGAATATATTAAAAAAAAAGATCTGGGTGTTAAGTATTATGAGTAGATTTTTAACTATTGATTTGATTCTGTTACTAGTAATAGGTCTTTGGAGGTCTTCTATTTCTTACTGAAAGAGTTTTCATAAGTGAATTTCTTTTTAGAAAATCTGTCCATTTCACCCAAGTGTTTAAGTTTACTCTCATGAAATTATTCATAATATTCTATTATTTTTATATCTCAGGTATATCTTTAGTTCATTCCTAACTTTAAAAATGTGTGCTTTATCATTTTGCTTAACCAATTCTCCAGAAAAGTTCAAATGTCCAACTTTTAACATTTTATCCTATTGTACCAGTGTGTCTATTGACGTCGTCTTCTTCGTTAAAGGGAATCCTCATTATTCTGATTCCATATTTGCAGATTTGCCTTCTCACTAAAATGTATTTGTAACTCCCAAATCCATTGTTGTGTTGCTTTCATGGTCTTTCACAGAAATGCATACAGCAGCAAAAAATTTAAATGGTCCAATGTGGGTGTCCCCAGCTGAAGTCAAATGTCCTTTTTACAGAGTACTTAGTGACTTTTCAAATTTTTGTGCCTTTTATTTGTGATTTCACTGTTTAGAATGGCCCCCAAAAGTAGTGCTGAAGTGCTTTATGGTGTTCCTAAGTACGAGAAGGCTGTGATGTGCCTTAAGGAGAAAATATGTGTGTCAGACAAGTTTTTTTCAGGCATGAGTTATAGTGCTGTTGGTGGTGTTCAAGGTTAATCAATCAATAATATATAGTAAATAAGGTGTCTTAAAATAGAATCACATATAGACAAGGTTATGTGCTGACTGATGAAAATGTTGTGACCAAAGGCTTACAGGAACCTAACCTTGTATTTCCCTTAGGAGCAATGACCGCTCAATGTTCAGAGCAACTTTATGGAACATAACCAGTGCAAATAATGAGAATTTACTCTCTCAAATTTGTTTGGGATTATTCTGTTGCTCTTTTTCTAATTTCCTAGGTTAGAAAATAAGCTCATTAACTTTCAGTCTTTCTTACCTTCTAACATAATACGTTAAAATAGTTACAATAATTTTTTTAAAATATTCATAGTGGCTCCTATTAAAATCTTAACCTTCATACTTAAATTAAGACTCTAAAATCAATAGTCATTTCCTTATTTCTATTAAAGTGTTTTTAAAATGAAGTTTCATTATACCTGTTCTTGTATTCTCTGTTCCAAACAGTTTAGTAAACCAACTGCATCTGTAGTACCTAGAGCTGTCAGCTCCGTCCGAAATGCTGCTAGTAAAACACTACGCTCTTCTAAGAAAACTTGTTGAAGGGCAAGCAGTAGTTCACCTCGCCAGTCTGAGAAGCTCTCATGAGATTGAGAACTATCATAAACCTAGCAAAGTACATATAACGATAGTTAGTTTTCAAATAAGCATGTTTTAAAAACATTCTAAAAATATTAATCTACAAAGAAAAATAATTAAAAGCCTAGGAGCATGTGTACTTCTTTTATTTATTTATTTTTTTCTTTTTGAGACAGTCTCACTCTGTTGCTCAGGCTGGAGTGCAGTGGCATGATCTCAGCTCACTGCAACCTCCACCTCCCAGGTTCAAGCGATTCTCCTGAGTAGCTGGGATTACAGGCACCCACCACCACGCCTGGCTAATTTTTGTATTTTTAGTAGAGACGGGTTTCAACATGTTGGCCAGGCTGGTCTTGAACTCCTGACTTCAGGTGATCCACCCACCTCGGCCTCCCAAAGTGCTGGGATTACAGGCATGAGGCACTGCTTCTGGCTGAGTTTCAAGTGTGAAAATATATATATATAGTTATTCATGCAAAAATATGTATAAAAGATAATTTAATTTATAATGTATTATTATTGTTCAAATAATACATAAAATGATTTAAATGCATAGTATTCTTTGGTTACCTCGGCTTCTCTTTGCAGTTGCATCTTTGTAATTAAATCCTTTAGAGATGAGATTGTATTGATGTAAGCTTTTCTCTCTTCTAGCCAAGGTTCTGAAACCTGCTGAATAGAATGGTCCTCTCCATCACTATAGGGAGACTCAGTGAGAGAAAGCACCTGCATGCCTTCATTATGGACAGCTCTCAGTAATCCCTGGAAACCAAAACCCAAGAGCCAGAATTATGACAACTTCTTCACAGACTGAAAAATTAGACTTACAAACAGAAATAAATTTTAAGCAAGATAGCTTGCAGAGAGAAAACTCCAGCCCAACATTACTGAATGCCTTCTTCCTGTGGAGGGGTAAGCCAACCCCAGCAGATGGCCTATGACTTTCCATAGCTCTCATCTCTAAGTTCCTTCTGTTTGGCTAATGTACTCTTCCTAGGTTTACTGATAAGCTACTGATTTGACCAAAATAAATACATGGGCTCTAACTTCTACTCTTTGAGACTACTTTAAAAATTCTGGCAAACGAATACATCAGGAATAAGAATTATTAAGAAAAAAAGTCTTCATACATATTATCATTAATCTCTTACTTTATTATCTGTGAAATGTGGAAATAAAATAGATCTCTCAGATTCCTTCTAGCTAAGCAATTCTCTCTTCAGAAATGATCCCACCATATAACTTCTAATGAACTGCTATGTTCAACATAGAAACAACACTGGCTGAGTTAATAAAAGGTATCTATCTTTTAGTACCTTTATTTTCTTTGGAAAGGAATCTGTTGCACTTTCACTTTCTTCTCCTCGGCCTTCTGATGCTATGTCAAATCCCTGACTGTGTGTAAGATAAATTCCCTGACCCCAGTCTGATCCAGAATCTAAAATAAAGAAAATAATTTGCTGTTAAAAAAAAAAAAATCAAACCCCAGTCCCCAAAAAACTATTATTTCTTAAACAACTACTACAAACATTACAAATATTTATATAACTTACCACTGGAGCATATTTCTCTAGTCTGGTAAGCATCAGAATGTGCTAGCTCAGGAATTGAGGATCCCTAATTAGAGAAAACAAAAAGTACATATATTTTTTGCTTTAATAAAAATAGAATACAATGAATTATTTTGCTGGTTTCCCGTGCTGTAATCAATCAAATCTGTCACACCTTTCATAATAAATGAAATTATTCATGGTTTTTTTTTTTAACAAGTCTGTTTCTTCATGAATATTACCATAAGAAGAGATACTCATGAATTAAGGAAAGATAACATGTTCCAAATCCATACAGGAACATCATATATTATTTAACTCTATGCAATGGAAAGATTTAAAGAAATTTAAAACTAAAAACTCTTTAAATTTAAAAAAGTTCAAAACCATTAAAATTGCGATCATAAGGAAGAGACTGCCCCCGTTTTTTTATTTTCTCTTAAAAGCACACAGTGTTGGAACCAACCCAAATGCCCATCAATGATAAACTGGATAAAGAAAATGTGGCACATATACACCATGGAATACTATGTAGCCATAAAAAAGGATGCGTTCATGTCATTTGCAGGGACATAGATGAAGCTGGAAACCATCATTCTCAGCGGACTAACACAAGAACAGAAAACCAAACACTGCATGTTCTCACTCATAAGTGGGAGTTAAACAATGAGAACACATGGACACAGGGAGGGGAACATCACACACTGGGGCCTGTCGGGGGTGAGGTGCTAGGGGAGGGACAGCTTTAGGAGAAATACCTAATGTAGATGACGGGTTGATGGGTGCAGCAAACCACCATGGCACGTGTATACCTGTGTAACAAACCTGCACATCCTGCACGTGTATCCCAGAACTTAAAGTATAACAAAAGAAAAAAAAGGAATATTGTACTAGGAGTTTAAAACTTGCCTTGATAATACACCTACTTAGAAAGATCAAGTGCCTTAATGAGTTGCATTTTGGTTTGTCATCTACAAAATGAATTAAACTGATTTTTTTTTTTTAAAAAACCACACAATGTTGAAAAACACATATTATAAAAACCAAATACCTCTTTACTTCTCAGACACTGTATCACTGCCTTCAAGGTACCACATTCCTCTTTCAGTAACTGAACGGCAACATAGTGTTCCCTCTTTAAGGTTTCAGTTTCTGAAATATGTCTGGATTCCATGTCCAAAATTTCAGCAGCATGTAGTTCTTGCATCTTCTCAATTTTTTCAGTAAACTGACTGATTATTTCAGTAACTTCTTCTGAGGAACATTCACTCTGTAAATTAATTTGTATTCCTGCATTTTTAACAAGAATTTGTGGAGTCTGATTGCTGCTACTGATCTTCAGAGTCCCATCTGTCTGGGATGCAATGCTCTTACTCAGTTTTATAGGAAGTGGCTCAAACATGCAGGCCTTTTTGCTTTCTTGTACCTCAGTCTCATCTTCTTTTTCTAAAATGGACAATTTCTCTTTTGCCTCTGCGAGGTGATCCCTAACTTGGCTTAAGTCTTTCTGAAGAGATGTCATATTTGTTTCTTTTACCTAAAACGTAATGAATAGAACAGTAGGGCATTCAGTTAAAATCTTCCCATATTAAATGTAGAATTTAAAGGGTGTGGGAGGAATGTAATTCATGATTATACGTTCATTTTCCTCAGAGTAGTAGGAAAAACATTTCAGAAACGCTCACAGTTTACATATATATATTTGTATGTACGTATGGTCATAGATTACTATAGAAATGAAATAATTTTATTAGCTTCTATTTTTGGTTCTCATGGGATATACAGTTCTCTTTAACAACTTTCTACTCCTTCATTAACAGAATGGAAATAAAAAGTATCCTCCTAAGAAAGATTTCCAGGAAAACCAAGCAAGAAGATGTTGGTAAAGAAATTTATAACAATGAAAGTTTTCATCAAATCCACAAAATACTTTTTATCTAGCTTTTAAGTTATGGAGCTCATTTGTTATAAAAGAGTATATACTTTGAAACGTAATTAAGATAGGTAGAAATGAGTGAATTAGGAGCTATGTTACTTATCTTACCAAAAGCTCTTCTTGAAGTTTTTCAGCCTTTTCTTTATAACTGGCAAGTTCTGCTTTGGTAGCCACTGATTCAGCTCTAAGAGCCTCGAGTTCATTAAAAAATCCACTTTCTTCATTGCTATGAAATAGCTCAGTAGTTGTCTGAATGACAGCGGAAACACAAGAAACACATAATTTAAAAAAAATATAGCTAAATTCAAGGCTCTTATACATTCTAATAAAACCATCCAAGGAATGACTGCCTACAGATATAAGGAGTTGGAACAAATCAATGCTCTTTCCAAAAACAGAGAAGCTTTTTCAGAACCATCATCTTATATTCTTGAGACAATGATTTTCTTCTTGAGAAAAGAATGATTTTCTGGGAATAAAAGGTAAGTAATGTTATTCATATACATCCTAAAATGGAAAGTTACATTACTATTTTAGGCCAGGCACGGTGGCTCACGCCTGTAATCCCAGCACTTTGAGAGGCTGAGACAGGTAGATCATTTGAGGCCAGGAGTTTGAGGCCAGTCTGGGCAACGTGGCGAAACCCTGTCTCTACAAAAAATACAAAAATTAGCCAGGTGTTGTGGTGCACACCTGTAGTCCCAGCTGCTCAGGAGGGAGAGGTTGCAATGAGCCAAGACTGCGCCACTAAACTTCAGCCTGGGCAACAAAGCAAGACTCTGTGTCCAGGAAAAAAAGAAAGTTATATTACTATTTTAATTATCTATAACTTAAGTAACTTAGTTCCAATGAAGGAGGAAAAAGCCAGGGAATTATTATTCTTTGCAAAATATATAATTATAGAATTGTGATTTATCAGTTAATCTTCTGGTGTTTGGAGAAGACTGAAGTTCAGCTACTCAAAGTTATAAATTTATAAGGTGAGAATTTGGAGGAAAAAAAAGCTCTTGTCCTATCTGTCATATGCTAAGAAATAACTGCGATTTCAGATCTTCTCATAAGTAAACTTACAGAGGTCAACTACGCATTTTTACTTAAAACAGATGAAATCTATTATCAGGTATAAAATTTGTAAAAGCTGGCCAGGCGCAGTGGCTAACACCTGTAATCCTAGCACTTTGGGAGGCCAAGGCAGGCGGATCACTTGAGGTCAGGAGTTTGAGACCAGCTTGGCTAACATGGAGAAACCTCGTCTCTACTAAAAAAAAAAAAATATATATATATATATATATATATAAATTAGCCGGGTGTGGTGGTGCGTGTCTGTAATCCCAGCCGCCTGGGAGGCCGAGGCAGGAGAATTGCTGGAAACCCAGGAGGTGGAGGCTGCAGTGAGCTGAGATCACACCACTGAACTCCAGCCTGGGCGACAGAGCGAGACTCTGTCTCAAGAAAAAAAAAAAATTGTAAAATATGTCACCCACACATTAATTAATTCAGTAGATGCTATTAAATAATAGATTTCTTTCTGTAAAGTCTGCATTCTTTGTCAATCCTAACATATTTTCATACTTATTATTACTTAAAAGGAATGATAACATAACATGCATATTAGAAGCAAATTAAGAAAAAAATCCCCATAAATCCTAGAGAACATTTGCTAAAATTAATGTTTCTTAGTTTCTTCTGACTGCTCCATTTAATGATGATGTTAATGAAATAAATATCATATTTAAAGACCATAAAATACAGTCTGTATCCATTATTTTAGTGATAATAATATGACTACACAGTGTTAAGTTAAATTTGGCCTGAGGCTGTCTCTGTATCTTGAGTTCCTATGTAAGGAACTACAATCTAACTTAGGAGTACGTAAGCAAACTGAAAACGTATCTTAGGAGTATAATAAACAGCCAACTCTTAGCTAATGACAAGCAGTCAACTGAGCAGACTGGGTCCAAATAAGGCAAACACCTAACTGTAACTAATCAAGCTATTTCTGTATTTTATTTGGTAGTTCTGTCTATAAATATTCACTGGCCACTGTTGCACAAAAGAGATTTGTGAAACTCCTCTGGTTCTGAATGCTACCCAATACGTGAATCCTTTTTTGTTCAAATAAACTCTCGTAAATTTAGTTTGTCTAGTTTTTCTTCTTCTTTTTTTTTTTTGAGATGGAGTCTCGCTCTGTCACCCAGGTTGGAGTGTGCAGTGGCGCGATCTTGGCTCACTGCAAGCTCTGCCTCCCGGGTTCACAGCATTCTCCTGCCTCAGCCTCCCGAGTAGCTGGGACTACAGGCACCCACCACCACGCCCGGATAATTTTTTGTATTTTTAGTAGAGACGGGGTTTCACCGTGTTAGACAGGATGGTCTCGATCTCCTGACCTCAAGATCCACCCGCCTCGGCCTCCCAAAGTGCTGGGATTACAGGCGTGGGCCACCGCGCCTGTCCTAGTTTTTCTTTTAACAAGAGTTTATTTTTTATAAGTGGTATATTTTTATAAAAACCTTCTTGTATAAATTGTTAGATGTAAACAGAACACCATATTTAGTAAATTAGCAATCAGCTTAGTTTCTTGGGGTATTTAAATGAAACTAATAAAATACAAAACTAACCTTGAGAACTTCAACATCTTGAGGGCTTCTTTTCTTTTCTTTCTCTCTCTGTTTTTTCTCATTGCCCTCCAATAGCTTCTGTAGTTCTAGCAGCTTCTTTTCTTTTTCTAAAACATTTTTTTCTGCAATTTCTACTTGTTCTTTTTCTAAAATCAAACTAGTATGCATTTCAACAACCTGGCTTTCTAATTCTGATATTCTCAAGGTTAATGCTGATATATCTGACCCCAACTCATCTTCTCTTAGTTGATTTAAATTCTGAATATTTGTTCTTTCAGGTTCTGATGAAATTGTTTGATTATCTTGACAGAATTTTGCATATTCCTGAACTGCCTCAAGTTGGATTTGACTGACAAGAGCAGCAGCCACTTTTTCTTCAACTATTTTCTGTAGGTTTACAATCTTCTTTTGAAGCATTTCTGTTTCAAACTGGCCTTGTTCTTGCATGTCTTTTATTTGTTTATAACACTGGGTAAGTTCTAAGTCCTTTGCACTAACAGTGCTCTCAAGTTGTAGCAACCTTGTTTCCAAATTAATTATGGAACCTTTGCCATTTTCTTCAAAAGATTTGAAGTATGTCTGATTTTCTAGGGATTTAAGAGCATCCTCTGTAAGGACTACTTCTAGTTCAGGTTTGTCTTTGCTCAGATGATCTATAGCCACGTTAACACTATTCTCTGGTATGCTTTGAATCTTTTCCACACTTTCACGTTCTCTCTTTAAGCTGAATAATTCCTGTGTTAGCTGATTCATTTTAAAATTGGTTTCTTTAAGTACATTTTTCATGAAGGTCATTTCTTCATTAGCGGTTTCTACTTGCTGTTCCAAGGCCAGCTTTTCAGCTATAACCACATCCAATTGATGTTTTAAACTGTCTGCTTCTTCTGAGAGGGAATGAGCATTCATTGATGTCTTCTGTCCAATATTTGCCAATTCCTGTTGAAGTTTTTCAATCACTTCATTGAGCTGCTCTATTTCTTCTTCTCTATTTCTCTTCACACATTCTTGATCACTCATCAAACATTCTATTTGGGTTTCAAGATCCCTTATCAGTTCATTTTTTTCTTCAATAACCTAATAATTAATGAAAAAGGTAACATACATAATATATATGTATTTACATTTTGAAAATTTTACTTTATTTTAGGGCAGTACCTCAAAGAGATGATCACACACAAAAATAATACACTACTTCTCAGACATACTACTTAATTTCATTATAGACCAATATCTCCCCCATCATATCAAACAAGGCTCAGAAAGTTCTGTTAAGTATAAAGTAATATAAGCTTTTAGTTGCTGATTCCCTATTAGGAAAATAGTCAATATCAATACTTCTTAATGGAAAAGGATGAAGTACGGAAATAAAGTCTACAACCGATGGCACCAAAGGTAATTACCTTACTTAACTCATATTAAATATTATAATTTATAATAGATTTGGTTAGAATAACATGATAAAATCTAAGTCACAGAGCCTTTCTGAAAAACATTAGAATCCTATGACAATATTAGGAGGGGAGAAAAATACATATAAATTATTAAACCAATGTGTCTTTGCTTTTTTTTTTTTTTCTTTTTGAGACAGGGTCTCACTCTGTCACCCAAGCTGGAGTGCAGTGGCATGATGAGGCTCACTGCAGCTGGGACTACAGGTGGTATGCCACCATGTCCAGTTAATTTTTATATTTTTTGTAGAGACAAAGTTTCACCATGTTGCCCAGGCTGGTCTTGAACTCCTGGGCCCAAGCAATCCGCCCACCTAGGCTTCCTAAAGTATAAGGATTACAGGTGTGAGCCTCTGTGCCTGGCCACCAATGTGTCTTAATAAATTAAAATTAATAAAAGAGAATTGGGCCAGGCGTGGTGGCTCATGCCAGTAATACCAGCACTTTGGGAGGCTGAGGTGGGTGGATCACCTGACATCAGGAGATAGAGACCAGCCTGGTCAACATGGTGAAACCCCATCTCTATTAAAAATACAAAAAATTAGCCAGGTGTGATGGTGGGTGCCTGTAATCCCAGCTACTCGGGAGGCTGAGGCAGGAGAATCACTTGAACCTAGGAGGTGGAGGTTGCAGTGAGCCGAGGTTGCACCATTGGACTCCAGCCTGGGCGACAGAGCGAGATTCTGTCTCAAAAAAAATAAATAAAATAAAATAAAATAAAATAAAATTGGTTTGTTTTTTAAATTCAATGGGGAGCAACATTATAACCATTTTGCCCTTTAAAACTCTGGTTCATATTAATTTCATAATCAATTTTAAATGAGTATACCTTGTTATCTGTTGTAATTTTAAGTTGCTGCTGGAGTTTCGTAACTTGTTCATTTAATTGGTCAATTTCTACCTCTTTTTCCTGTATTATTTGAGCAAATTTCCCAAATAGCACATGTTGGTCTTGAGTAGACATGGCATCAGATTCCTTTATGGCAAGTCCCAGTTTCTCCATGTCATCCTAGGAACAAAAATAATTATCACAGTTGGATATATCATTACCTATCATTTTCAGAACATAATTACAAAAGAAATCAGAGCCTATAACGTACAAATGAATAAAATCAGAGACACCATATGGTTACTGTAAATCAATAATTCTAAAATATTTTGATAAATGATCCCAAAATTTTCATTTATGATGAATTCAAATGTTCAGGTTGGGCTGAAAATAAGCTGTATGCAAATGTGTCTGCCTGTTAATGTTCCTCTGTTGAGTATTATTTAACAGCTGGATTTATCGAATGCTTAATAAAGCAATATAGGGGCCAGGTGTGGTGGCTCACGCCTGTAATCCCAGCACTTTGGGAGGCCAAGACAGGCGGATCACGAGGTCAGGAGATCGAGAGCATCCTGGCTAACACGGTGAAACCCCATCTCTACTAAAAATACAAAAATTAGCCAGGCGTGGTGGTACGTGCCTATAGTCCCAGCTACTCGGGAGGCTGAGGCAGAATTGCTTGAACCAGGGAGGCGGAGCTTGCAATGAGCCGAGATCACACCATTGCACTCCAGCCTGGGCAACAGAGTGAGACTAAGTCTCAAAAAAAAAAAAAAAAAGAAAGAAATAATAATAATAATAATAATAAAGCAATATAGGACTGAAACTATGACTTATTTACAGATAAAAGTTTTTCTTAACTAATTACCTTAAATAATTTGTTTTCCTGTTCAAGTTCTTGTAGGCGGGTAGTAGATTCCTTTTTCTGTATTTCTAATTGCATATGTAATTGTTGAACTTCTTCATTCTTATTTTCCAGTTCTTCTCTAAACTGTTCTAATTGCTCTTCTAAGTTTGTAATCTTTAATAACAAAATTATCAAAAGAGAAAAAATGTTTATACAAACGTTTATCAAGATAAAATGAAGAGTGCTATATTAGCTTTACAAAGTATGCATGCTTAAAACATGAGTCATAAGAATAAAGGAATGTGGTTTTTCTAAGCCAGGTATAATCTGTGTTACCTGTGTGGTTCCTAGACATGCTCAAACTGGCCATCCTTAAACTATCCTACACAAAGCAGAGAGGAAACCTCCTGAGGAAGGATAAAAGGAGCCATTTCCTACCTTAGTCTCTTCTCCTGAAGCAGAAAAGAGTCATAGGAGGAAGGGAAAGAGTCCACATATTAAATCTTAGTTTATGTTACATTAAGTTGCTATCAAAAGGCCTAGAAAAGTTGTAGAACTGTTTGTTTTGTTAGCCACCATATAAGACTAACTCAATTTAGTCCAAAAATATCTAATTAACTTACTAAAAGGCCTGGCTGCCATGTGGTTTGTTAAGCAGAAGGAAGCCAAGATAGAAACTAAGACCAAGAGATCCTTAGGTCTGAATTACAAAAACCTTAGAGTAAGTGAATTATACAATTCAGGAGAAAATTAGAGAGCTCCTATAGGTAGGACAACAGAAATTTATTTAATCATTTTGAGGATGGATTATGAATAATGGTAAAGCAACTGCTTTTTGATGGTTAGAGACTGAAACGAATGATGAATATTAAGAATTATTTTTATATTTGAAAATTGGTTTTGACTGAGGACAGTAACATTCATTTAGCTCACTGGTTTGTTGCTACTTAATACAAAGTGAATGAATGATTTCCAAATGTGTATTTACCTCATGATCAAAACTGCTGATCAAAAAGCAAACTAAGATGCAGGAGCATCTCTGTTATCTAAGGCAACAGAGCCTATCCTCAGCAACACTTAGTGACAAGTGGCTCAGAAAGCAGCTTATGAATCATTTACTGCCTTAGAAACTGAAAGAGGGAATCGCTGATTACACACTAACACATCACATACTGAGAACCATATCTGAACACTGGCAAATCCTTAAAAACCAGTTAGCTTAGTATTTCCTAAACAGTATCAATACTAGTAGTAACAGCCATCACTTGTAACAGTTTACCGCTAAGCACTGCACAAAGTGCTTTATATGTATTATTTCTTAAAACCCTGTTACAACTTTATAAGATCTGTTCTGAGTATCCCCATTTTAGAGATGAGGATGGACGTCACAGAGAGGAGTAATTTGCTTTCAGGCCACATGGCGAGTATGTGGAGAAGCCAGCTTTTGAACCTGAGGAGTTTATCTCTGAATCTTCCACTCTAAACTATCACTTATCCTGCTTCTAATAACTAATGTCTAAGACTTACACTTAAAATTTTTTCTGTAACACTGGTTATTAAACTCAGTAGACACTGAAATACATTTAATGACTGAACATAAATAATTACCAGGTTGCTGAAAACTGCAATGATTATATCTTCTTCAAAGTGATTTAACATAGTATTTACAACTATCCCTACATTTCTGTAACTACTTTGATGACAAGGTATTATTTTAAAATCAACACATAAATAGTTATTTAAGTTCAAATTGCTGCCCTATCTCATACGAAATTTCCTTTTTTTATACAACAGTTTATGATCAATTTCTTAACTTTGTGACATGAAGCCTTGCTATTCAGTGTGGTCTCGAGAGCAGTAGAGTTGGCATCATGTGGGAGCATGCTGGGTGTGCAAAATGCCATGTCACACCCCACACTTGTGTTTTATTTTTTTTTTAATTTTTGACTCATTTTATTGTTTTACAGTAATCAGATAGGAAATGAACTCTATTATATATTCCTTTTTAATCTTTTTTAAAAAATTATACTTTTCTGGGATACATGTGCAGAATGCATAGGTTTATTACACAGGTACACACGTGCCATTGTAGTTTGCTGCACCCATCAATCCGTCATCTACATTAGGTGTTTCTCCCAATGCTATCCCTCCTGTACCCCTCACCCCCTAAAAGGCCCTGGTTTGTGATGTTTCCCTCCCTGTGTCCATGTGTTCTCATTGTTCAGCTTCCACTTATGAGTGAGAACATGTGGTGTTTGGTTTTCTATCCTTGTGATAGTTTGCTGAGAATGATGGTTTCCAGCTTCATCCGTGTCCCTGCAAAGGACATGAACTCATCCTTTTTTGTGGCTTCATAGTATTCCATGGTGTATATGTGCCACATTTTCTTTATCCAGTTTATCATTAATGGACATTTGGGTTGGTTCCAAGTCTTTGCTATTGTGAATAGTGCTGCAATAAACCTATGTGTGCATGTATCTTTATAGTAGAATGATTTATAATCCTTTGGGTATATACCCAGTAATGGGATTGCTGGGTCAAAAGGTATTTCTGGTTCTAGATCCTTGAGGAATCGCCACACTGTCTTCCATAATGGTTGAACTAATTTACACTCCCATCAACAGTGTAAAGGTGTTCCTATTTCTCCACATCCTCTCCAGCATCTGTTGTTTCCTCTTTAATGATTACCTTTCTAACTGGCATGAGATGGTATCTCATTGTGGTTTTGGTTTGCACTTCTCTGATGACCAGTGATGATGAGCTTTTCTTCGTATGTTTTTTGGCCATATAAATGTCTTCTTTTGAGAAGTGTCTGTTCGTATCCTTTGCCCACTTTTTGATGGGGTTGTTTTTTCTTGTAAATTTGTTTAAGTTCTTTGTAGATTCTGGATATTAGCCCTTTGTCAGATGGATAGATTGCAAAAATTTTCTCCCATTCTGTAGGTTGCCTGCTCATTCTGATGATAGTTTCTTTTGCTGTGCAGAAGCTCTTTCATTTAATTAGATGCCATTTGTCAATTTTGGCTTTTGTTGCCATTGCTTTTGGTGTTTTAGACATGAAGTCCTTGCCCATGCCTATGTCCTGAATGGTATTGCCTAGGTTTTCTTCTAGGGTTTTTATGGTTTTAGGTCTTAGTCTTTAATCCATCTTGAGTTAATTTTTGTGTAAGACTTGTGTTTTAACAAGATCCCTGGGTGATTTGCATGTGCATTAAAGTTTGAAATGCACTGGTCTAAAGCACTAACTTTCCTATTCTAAGTAGCTGAAGTTCAGGCATCATATCAGACACTTCAATTCCCCCAAATGACACTATGGGACATTCTTTCCTCTTATTCAGTCAGGCTCTAGTTTAGTACTAGGCTCTCTTCTTATTGAGCCTGTAACCACCTACAACCAGAAGAACATTATTAAGATTTAAAAACAAAGGCTGGTAAATATTTGTTTTAATCTTGTTTAATTTATCTAATAATTGAAATTAATGTTTGGATTAATTTGCATCTATTTTTGTTTTCTTTTTTTTTTGAGATGGAGTCTCACTCTGTTGCCCACGCTAGAGTGCAGTGGCGTGATCTTGGCTCACTGCAAGCTCTGCCTCCCGGGTTCACAGCATTCTCCTGCCTCAGCCTCCCGAGTAGCTGGGACTACAGGCGCCCGCCACCACACCCGGCTAATTTTTTTTTTTTTTTTGTATTTTTAGTAGAGATGGGGTTTCACCATGTTAGCCAGGATGGTCTCGCTCTCCTGACCTAGTAATCCACCCACCTCGGCCTCCCAAAGTGTTGGGATTACAGGCGTGAGTCACCACGCCTGGCCTGTTTCCTTTTTTAAAAAGTGTTTTTATCTCTTTCAAATGTACATATGTCTCCTTAATTACACAGTAGATTCCTTGACGTCCACCGCTAGTTTTACATTTGGGTACTGGTGCTACAGGTGCATTAAGAGCTCACTAAATGTTGAATGGCAGTCTTTAACACTTCTCACCAACAAGACAAAATGGGCCCCAATGCTTTGGCAGTATAGTATCACAAGGGCTTCAGACTCACAGAAATCTGAGAGGAACTCCTTTTCAACCACTTAAGGTGTGACCATGATCAAGTTATTTAACTTCCCTTAAGGCTCAGTTTACACATCTGTAAAATGGGGATAACAGAGTCTGTCCTCGGGAAGAAAGTGTTAACGGTAAAAGGGCATTTAAATACTTAGTACTGTCTAATTAGATAGGCCTCAACAAAACTATTATTATTTATTATTGCTAACTCTAAGCTAGATCTCATTAGCTCTACAGAGAGCTAAAACCTATGGAACGTATCTTTTTCTAAAATCCTTCTATTCCTTTCCCCATTTTCTACCTCCTCCTATAATTCTAAAACTCCTTTCTTTTAGAGTTCTCTTTTTATTCATCCTGCATTTCTAAATTTCTAATAAGCTTAAAAAATGTTTTATACAAATTTAGGCTCTGAGAGAAAAGTATCTCAAATACCATGATACATAGGGACATCTTATATTTATACTCCATCAGATATCTGAAAGCATTTGCCTAGTTTCTGGGGAAAAAATGCTTAAGAAGTTATTTTCAATAAAATACATTTTAATTCTATGTTCCTGCCTCTCAGTCTCCAGTTATGGTAGGTGAATGGGTTTTGATAAAGTACTTGTTACTGTTATTAGGGTCAGCTGTCAGTTTAACCTCTTACTCATTTACCGTTTCTCTCCTTATCTATAAAAAACATCAGTCAGTTGACAGATGCCCTCTAAAGTTTCTCATAGTTTTGAACAACTATGATTCTGAGTAAAAGGTAGACAGTTATTAGATACTTAATTCAAGATAGCAGTGCTATATTATATTCAGAAGATAATAAAAATATAAAATCAGTAAGGTTAATCAATTATCCACAGTCAACTATCATTGCTTTGGGTCCAGTTGAGAAGGTCTGTCTTTTTAGGCAACATATAAATTACTTTACTCAGTTTAAGGGAAATCTTTAAATGTTAGCTCTTTGAAACACAGAAATAGTTACATATAAACAAAAATGCTCCCCACCTCCAATAAAAAAAATCAAAAGTCAAAATAAATAAGAGCCTCTCAGGTAAACATTACTCAGTATTATGTGATAGTGAGAAAATAATCCTTCTCATGGAAATGATTTCAACTACAGTCACTTACATAGATGCCTTTTTTCTCCTCTAATCTACAGGTTTTCTGAACTATAGTTTTAGCTGATATCTAAATCATTCTTATATTTTTCAAAGCAGCTTAAGTTCATAACTATTTGTTAAAATATAGTAAGTCTTCTCAGAATATTAGAGACAAAAATGTAATTTTAAAAATTTTAAACATTTTAAATGATAAGATATAGCTAGACAATGTAGATAGAGTAGGATATGTTTTTTAAAAACTATTAGTAGACAAAGGCTTAAATAAGTTATAAATTAGGAAGTTGAGGTGACCATTGTTCTGAAAGTAGATTTTTAGTTTTTTGGAAGAAGGGGCAGAGAAACAAAGGAGAACTTTATATAATTGCTTAATTGCTTTACTATTAAAGCAATTTACTATTAATCTTTTTGTTTTAAGAACATATTCTGTATATTGTAAAACAGGACTATAATCTCCCAGGGCAATACAATAAAAAAAAAAAAAACCACACAGCAAAGCAGCAATAATTCAATATGTATTCTACGGTTAGGAGAAAAGGGATATATTGCCTTTTGTCCTAACACTACTATATCTCTCCACCCTCTACACTCCTGCTAAACTGGCCTTCTTCCTGTTCCTCCGAACTTCGTCCTGCTTCAAGGCCTTTACACTGGCTCTTCTCTCTATCTGGAGCACTCTTCTTTCCCGTCAGCTTAATTACTCATATGTTTACTGCCTTCAAGGTCAATTTTGGCATTGAGCTGAGAAACAGCCTCAACTTTGGTTTTAGATCATAAACTACATTCAGTTCAAATAATATTTTCAAGGTAACTGATTTAAAATAATTCAAACCACGCTGTGTCATTTAAAAATAAACTCCTTACCTCTTTTTCCTTTCTGTCTATGGCATCTCGTTCAGCCTGCAATTGTACTTCTAGGGACAATTCTGGTTTAGCTTCTACAGCTCCAAAGTGTTTTCGGTCCTCTACCTTTAAATATATAAAAATTTTCTCAAAATTTGATAAATTAAATCCTGATTATCCAGTTTTTTTTTGTTTTTTGGTCTGCTTTTTTTTTTTTTTTTTTTGAGAAGCAGCAATCCTGTTTCTCCAATTAGAAGTAGAAAGTCTACTTCTAATTAGTGAATAATAAAAAAGTTGGCCGGGCATGATGGCTCACGCCTGTAATCCCAGCACTTTGGGAGGCTGAGGTAGGTGGATCACCTGAGGTTGGGATTTTGAGACCAGTCTGATCAACATGCAGAAACCCCGTTTCTACTAAAAATACAAAAATCAGCTGGTTGTGGTGGCGCATGCCTATAATCCCAGCTACTTGGGAGGCTGAGGCAGAAGAATCGCTTGAACTCGGGAGGTGGAGGTTGTGGTAAGCTGAGGTCGCACCATTGCACTCCAGCCTGGGCAAGAAGAGCGAAACTATGTCTCCAAAAAACAAAACAAAACAAAACAAAACAAAACAAAACAAAACAAAACAACAACAACAACAAAAAACTCTTCCCTTCTCAGGACTAAGACATGCAAGCAACATTTGGAAATAAGAACAAACAGAAATGGTTACAATGTCAACAGAGATATAAACATAATATGTAATAATACCTACAAGAAGTTGACAATTTAAGAGTATTCTTCATTAAAACACTTATTAAGTTAGCCCAAATAAAATGCCACACCTTTTGAAAAGTATCTGCACTCACAAGAAGCGCCTGCTCCAGTTCTCTTACTCTGAACTCCAGTTTCTCTATTTCTTCATTCCTTTCTTGTATATCCCTTTGAAGCTGCTCTTTAGAGAGCAAAAGCTCACTGCATTTGTCTGTTTTTTCTTTCAGATGATTTGCTAACTGTTCAACCTGAAATATAAGAGGCAAAAAATTTAATTTAAAAAAAATTTCAGCAAGCTAGTTAGTATAGGTTGAGTTATCCCTCATTTTGGATATCTACAATCCAAAATGCTCCAAAATCTGAAACGTTTTTGTTTGTCTGTTTAAGAAATGGAGTCTCATTATGTTACCCAGGCTGGAATGCAGTGGCTATTTACAGGCACGATCGTCATGCACTACAGCCTCAAACTCCTGGGCTCAAGCAATTCTCCTGCATCAGCCTCCTGAGTAGCTGGGACTACAGATGCACACCAACAAGCCCAGGTCAAAATCTGAAACTTTTTAAGCACTGACATCATGCTCAAAGGAAATGCTCATTGGAGCATTTCACATTTCAAATTAGGATGCTGAATAGGTAAGTATAATGCAAATATTACAAAATTCAAAATATCTGAAATCTGAAACACTTCTCTCAAGCATTTTAAAGAATACTCAATGCATATAAAACATATCTTCATTTCAAAAATTTTTTTCTAAAAAGTATTTTTAAATGTTATGCTAATTTAACTTTGTATAAAGATAGCAACTGTTGTCTCCAACAAAGGTGACATTTTACAAGTTGAAAAAATTAAGCAACACTAGTAGACCACAAGTAATATTGCTTTCACGTAATCCTTTAAAAAATCTTTCTCTTAAGACTAAGACTTTCTCCACCTAGGAAGAGGGGAAAAAATGGATTTTTCATAAGGCTGAATTATCTAATGGCACAACCACACTAAATCCTAATGAAGATGACAAATTTGCAGGTACTGATTTACTCTTGTATGAGATAAAATGACCTAAATAAATCTTTTATGGACTATATTTTGAAAACAGTCATTGGGAAAGCTTTTTCAATCTATACATTCCATCAGCCCAGGAAAGAGCTAAGGATGAAGGGGTGTGAGAGGGATCTGTGCACCTTGAAGGTTTCCCTAAATGTCTCTAGTCTTGGTTTCTCCTTTAACCAAAATAATGATGCATGCCAAGACCTATTCCCTAAGAATGATATGGAGATCCCTTCAAGTGAATGGTTCTGTGACAGGAAGGATTAGTTGTACTGTATGGAAAGTGAGGAAGGAAAGCTTACTTTAAAAAAAGCGACATGTGATGGTAAGAAATAAAGTAATTCTACCTTTTCTTTTCAGTGAAATATTCTGAGGAAATTATCTAAAAAATGACAGTTATTTCTCAGAACATTAAAAGAATGCAAGCTTAACTATAATTTCAGGTTCAAGGATGATAGCAATAAAGTCACTGATATGTGCAGTCAGTTTTAAAGGGAAAAAGAAAAAAAAGGAAAAAAAAAGCTGCTGAGGAGAAACTTTAATAATAATAAGTTGACTAAGATTTGGAGTAAGGTTAAGAAAAAAGGCAACAATGTAGGTACAATAAAATGGTGCAACAGTAGAAAAAAAAAATCAAACATGCACATCTTTGTTAGTTTCTTAAAGTTTCATGAGCAAAGCAGGCCAACCTTTTCAAATAAAAGAAAACTACATAATAGGAGATGACAGCCTAGGTTCTAGAGCTTAAATATTCTTTGAAGTACAACAAACGACTACTTTTTAAAAGCCAAAAATATGTTTGTCAGAAATGGGGCAATAACTAGAAACTGTGGATAACTTTTTTCTTTTTTTTTTTTTTTTTTTTTTGAGACGGAGTCTTGCTCTGTCCCCAAGGCTGGAGTGCAGTGGCGTGATCTCAGCTCACTGCAAGCTCTGCCTCCTGAATTCATGCCATTCTCCTGTCTCAGCCTCCCGAGTAGCTAGGACTACAGGTGCCCGCCACCACGCCTGGCTAATTTTTTTTTTTTGTATTTTTAGTAGAGATGGGGTTTCACTGTGTTAGCCAGGATGGTCACGATCTCCTGACCTCGTGATCTGCCCACCTCGGCCTCCCAAAGTGCTGGGATTACAGGCTTGAGCCATCACGCCCAGCCCTGGAGACTGATAACTTTTGTACTACTCTAGTATACAACATTTTATTATAAGGAGTTTATTGGCACTCTGTACTTCTTCGGCTTTCTTTTAAGAGAAATGAAATCCACTGAACTGTTTAGAAATTACATTCGAAATAAAAATTGTTTCAGAAATAATACTAGTTAAAGTGTTCACTATGTGCCAGGTCAACACTCCTATGATGTGGGTGCTATTACAATCTCTATTTTAGAAATGAATTAACAGAGATTTGAGAGGTTAACTGACTTAGTTATTGTCATAACCTAGTAAATGGCAGAGCCATGATACAAACTGGGATTGCCTTACCCTAAGCACAATGTCTTTATCACCATGACAAGCCATCTTTAGGTATTCATACAGTGAATCCTCTCTCATTTATGTAGCATTCATTTGGTAAATGTGGAGTTTTGACTATGTTTCTATGAGGAAAATGGGCAGTTGGGGTGAAAAAGGAGAAGCAGGGAGACTGGTTAAGAGGCTACCACAGTGATCCAGGCAAACAAGTGACAAGTGGGATTTAGGAAGATGAATAAAAGTGCAAATAACAGAAAGATGTAGTGCAGTCTGACCCATCAGTGGGTTGGAATCAGGGGTTGAGAGAAAGGAGAATCAAGGCTGATTCTAGTTCTCAGCAATGGGGCAGGTTAGAAGGTACAGAATTTACTGAGATGAAGAAGAAAAATGTTTTATGCTTGTCTTTCTCTGGTAGTGGCTAATCAGGAATCAAGACCTTTCTTTTGGACATGTTAATTTTGAGACATCTAAGCAGAGACAGAGTAGGCACTGGATATCCAATGCTGGAACTTAACAGAAATGTCACAGATAGAAATACAAATGTGGAGGCATTTATATATGACTGCCTGGGAAGAGGCTATAAATAGGAAATAAAAAGGGGCCCAAGAGTAAGTTTTGGGGCACTCCATCATTTATGCTGGGTAGGAAAAGGAGAAACAAAGACTAGAGGAGAGAGACCAGTGGAGTAGCTGTGTCACAGAAACAAGAGAAGGAAGTATTTCTGGGAGAAGGCTGCAATAAATGCCTCTGAATGGTTGAGGAGGATGGAGACAGAGTTGGATATTAGCCATAGCCATGAGGCTCTGGGTCACCTTCACAAGAACAATTTAAATGGAGTAGAAGGTATAACCCTACTGAGAAACAAGGGCTGGATACTTCACTGGAGTGGACTAGTAAGAGAAAAGGAAATGGGAAAGTAAACAGTGAACACAGATAACTCTCTTGATCACTTTTGTTAGGAATGGGAATAAAGAAATAAACAGAGTTTATTTAATTGAGAAATACTAGAAGACATATGCAGATGGAAATGATTCCAAATTTCAATACCAACAATTTTCAGGGTTAATTACCTTCTCATGCTTAAGTAATATTAAGTTTTCTGATTTTGAAGATTTACATACAAAGGAAAGAATCCACTTTTAAGTTTTTAATGATATGCATCTTATTTTACACTTGATACAAATTACTGTAAGTTGGGCAATATCAGTGAAGTTCTTACCTCTCTAGTTTGATGTTCACTGATAGGCTGGAATCGAGGAACAACCTTAAGTTGCTGTTCTAGTTTCTGTATTTCCTGTTGGAATACATCTCTCTCATGTTCTCTGTCAATGGCTTGCTCCTAAAGTTTAATGACAATAATGATAGTAGCTGAAGAAACAGTATTTAGAGAAGCTATTATTTCTTACTTCTCCTTTAGAGATATGTTAGTTTTGTTTGAAGACAAAGGACTGATGATCATGGAACATCCCAAATCACAAAAGTTTTAAAAGATAACATTTTATTTTTTATATGCCATATAGCCTATTTGGCCTCCTCAACAAAAATTCAAGTATTAATATTAAAATATTATTTCAAGTACATTTCTTTTTTTATTCAAGTAATATTAAATACAGGATGAAAAAATATTCACCTTAAAATGAATTTACTTTTCTGGAACAAAGGAGGAATTCCATGTTAGTTTAGCCATTAAACAAAATCCATAAAACAAATTGTTTGGTAAATCAGTTTCTTGAATCCTAATCTAGGTTTTATGTCTAAAGTTATAAAATGAGTAAGAATCTGATTCTCTGATCTATGAAGAGAGTATCAGGCTTAAGTGAAATCTCAAAGGAAAAAAAAATGTGAAATTAGAGATTTAACATCTTTTTGGAAGAGAGTAATGGCAGCATGACCACTGTTCCGGGCCCATTTCCAATGGCCACACTGTTCTATGTGTATCTTTTACAGGTGAAGCAGTGGTGGCCCATTATCTCTTTGCCTATCTTAGTCTGTGGTTAAATAAAAAACTAGAATAAGCTCCTGATCTGAATTTGGAAAACTAGTGGGGCTTATTCATAATTTTTATCATGTATAATTCAATACATAATAAAATGTACTGATTTTAATTCTGAGTGCTGCACAATAAAAATTATTGGAATCTTAAATTGGAATAGTACTTTTTGATCGATTAGTAGATTCGACACCTAATAAAACACTGAAAAACTAACTCAACAGTCTTTTCATAATTTAAAATTCATAGCCTAGTATACTAGCAAAGAACATTCCACTGAGAAAAATCAGTATTCAACTTGAGAATACTTACATCTAAAAATTTTCTCATTTTTTCTAACTGCTTTTCCAATGCTTGGTTTTGCTGTCTTAAATCCATTAGTTCAGTATTTTTTTCTTGTTCCAGCTCTATAAACCTACTGACTTGTTCTTCCACATCTATTTCTAGAGCTTTCACTTGTTTTTGAAGGTCATCACGTACTTTTTCAGCTTGACATTGTACTTCTAGTTTTTCCTTCATTAATTTTTCTGTCTCCTGTAGTAATTCTGTTTATTAATACAAAATATACTGAATTAAATCACAATTAATGATCTTATGATAATGAAATCCCTGATAACTATGTCCAAATTTTACGTTCATGAAAGGCTGAGAATTATTTTAAATACACATGAAAGTAAATATTCTCTTATGAAAGTATCAAAATTATATTAAAATATTTCTATATAAGTAAACAAGCAATTATTAATAAAATTATACAGAATTATTAACAAAAAATATGTCCTGTCACTGAAAATAATATTTTTGTGAAAACAACATAGCAAATGACCAAAAAAAAAAAATCTATTTTTACTACTGGGCAAAGAACAAAGTCCAATTAAATTCAAGCACAGAAAAAAACTCACCGTTTTCTTCACCTCAGGCAAAAAGCAATTCATTCCAAACCCATAAAGTCAATTTTATTTGCATACACAATAAACATGAAGATCAAACACTGTAAATCTTTAACCAAGGCAAGTCTAAGAGTTACAGAAATATAAATACAGCTATAATTGAAATTTCCTGTTAGTCTTACTCCTTATTAGATCCATATTCCTGAGTTGCTTTTGCATGGTCACATGTATGTGAATCAAGGGAAAACTGACATGTATGAGAGGTAGTGTGGTGTAGTGCTTAAGAACAGACCGTAGGCCCAACCTAGCTCAGCCACTTATCTCCCATGTGACAGTTATGATGATGTCCTTTAGTTTCCTTATATGTAAACTGAGAATAATATTATTACTGATCTCTTAGAGTTATTTTGGCATTAAATGAGTTAATACATGTAAAGAAGAGTGTCTGAGGTATGGTAAGCACTATGTGTTAGCTATTAATATTATTAATATAACAAAGTGTATATAGTAAAAATAAAACAATCTTCTAATGAAGAAAATGGAAAGAACATATCCCTAGGGTCTTTAACTAGTATGCCAACATTGTACTCAGGACTAGGAATCTCTAGAAAACAGCTTTCCTTTTAAAACAACATTAGATGTTAACATAAAAATAAATCAACCAGAGAGCCTCTTATTAAATTTCACTGATCCTTTTGCTACCATCATCTTACATACTTCCTGATTTAGAAGGAGCATTTTAAAAACTCATAGATTGAAAGAGTTTAATACATTTGTTAAATGGTTTCTTAAAAAACTCAAAATGGCTGGGTATGGTGGCTTATGCCTGTAATCCCAGCACTTTGGGAGGCAGAGGTGGGCGGATCACCTGAGGCCAGGAGATTGAGACCAGCCTGGCCAACATGGTGAAACCCCATCTCTACTAAAAGTACAAAAAATTAGCCAGGCATGGTGGCTCCCGCCTGTAGTCTCAGTTACTCAGGAGGCTGAGGTGGAAGAATCGCTTGAACCCAGGAGGCGGAGGTTGCAGTGAGCCGAGATCAGACCACTGCACTCTAGCCTGGGTGATTGAGCAAGACTCCATCTCAAAAAACAAACACAGACAAACAAACAAACAAAAATCAAAATGGTTTTAAGCTCTATGCAAAAATAGACATCATAAGATGATGGTCAGTATGAATCTCAGATGTTAATTTCAAATGAAAATTTGTACTTTTATTGTAAGAAAAGTTTATTTGTTGTTGTTAAAGAGAAAAACTGTAAGTATGGAACAACAGCAACACTGCAAAACTAGAGATGTTAGTTGGCTGAAAATCCAGGTCACCCACATTTTGGAGTTTAAAGTCTACCACCCAAACATTGGCCATGCAATGGTATACACACACCTGCTCCTGGTGCTGCATCGACTGCAGCATCTACTAGTCCTAGGAAAATAGAGAAAAAAAAAAAAAAAGACACAACAAAAGTATAATTTATATGTCTTCTACTTCCTAAAATGGGATAATGCACATGCACACACACGTATCAAAAACAAGAGTTGAAGACACTGATTATCACTGGTAACATTTTGAGAAGTTCCAGTATTTCTTGAATATTTTGCATATATGACATATACTTTCCATATTAAAAATCCCAAACTAAACCTGTTTAATTAATTTGAGCAGCTGGAAGAAACTTCACTATATTACAAAAATGTATGCTGTATTTCTAAACCGATAAAATGAAATCAGTGAAACGGCACATTTAAAAATCCAACTGCACGTGTAATATAAAAGTGAGAGGACATGGTAAACAGGATTAAAGTTCCATCATTACCAAGACTGACATTTACTGCTAAACAAACTTTCACTTCAAGATATTACTTAATATCTTATTTAAGGAAAAATGAAAGGTTACTTAAACATTTAAGTATTATTTGAATTCCTACTACATTAAACTAGATGTCAGCCTACCAGCCACTGACCTTTTTAAATCTACTCTGCTTGCAAGTCAAAAAACCCCTCCACCTGCTCATTACTAGTGCCAGATCAGTGCTTTTAGATATTTAATCCAAGTATACATTTTTGCTGCCTCTCTGCTATTAGAACTAAACCTTACACAATTTTTAAAATATCCTGCCTCATTATTTGCAGCTTTCTCTTGAAGCAGAAGTTTGAGGATAAATGAAGAACTATCTTTTCCTGTTAACATCTGCCTAAGGAAAAAGAAAAAAAAAACCTGATTCCACATGATTGGCTAATAAGACATTTATCTCTAAGGTAGATTTTCTTATAATTTTTTAAATCTCTCTATAAAATATATGAATAATGGCACTGAAAGAGGAAAAAAGCCACCTTAAGCCTTTGAAGAATACAAATAAAATCAGAGGACTGTTTCATACAAATTCTGAAAATACTTACGTTGTTCAACTGGGCCTGCCTCTGCTTTCATAGCTTCCTTTTGTCTGGACAGTAATTCTCTTTCTTCTTGGATCTGCTGTTGCTCTGCCTCCAATTCTTGCAACCTGTTACTTGCACATAACAACTCCTGCTCAAGACGATCTATTATATCAGTTTTTTCCTGAATTTGCCTTTCAAAAAGAGTTTTTTCATCTGCATAGCCATCAATGACGCCTATAATACAAAATTAACAGAAAATAGAACTATTATTCATTTCAAATTCAACCACTAGGTTTTAATATAAACAACAAAAGGTATACTGTTAGCAAAACTTTCCATCATTCCAACCTATTAAAAGTCTTGAATGAATTTGCTGCTCATCACAGCAACTATCAACCTTTAATAGGGTATGGTCAATGCAGACATTTCCTTGTTTACCATTGTGCATAAACATGAAATTTCTCTGAATTTTCTAATACTTTGCTATACCAAAGTACCACATTATGTAGGTGTAAGTCACTTTATTAAACAGATATAAACAGTAAGTTTCTGAAAAGCTTAATACAAATTAGATGCTTGTGAACTGAATCACATTTTGAAAATTAGAAGGTTGGTATTTTAAGTAATTTTAGAAGGCCAACACCCATAACAGCAGAGGAGAATTAAAAAGAGCATAGGGCTTTAGAGATTCAAAGCCTGGAATCACTATGTAATGGTATTTGTGCCCTTTAACAATTTAATAACATCTTTTCGCTTCAGTTTGCTCATCTTTAAATTACAAGGGTTGTCTTAAGATGGTGTGATTACAGTAACGAGTCACCACTATCCTTTTTGGTATTTTCTGAAATTATTATTTTCTGTAACTCTATAAATTCTTTTTATAATTTTATATATATATATATATATATATATATATATATATAGTTTTAAAAATTGCTTGGAGGAACTCTGAAGATAAACCACAAGTACTTTTTAATGGTCATTCTAAATTGGATTGACGGCTTCCAAACCTGGCTGTGCATCAAAAATCTCTATTTTAAGACTGAAATTTCTCTACCCTTAGTTGTCAATGGCAAATTGCTCACCCTCAGCCTTACTGAGCTCCACAGCTAGCTGTTCTCTGGCCCTGGACTCCTCATGAAGGCGCTCTCGAAGTTCCTCTTGGCACTTAAGGGACTCTGTTGCTTCTTGTTTCTGTCTAAATGACTCACGCATCAACTCTGTCTGTGTCACTTTCGCATGTTCAAGCTAAACAAAGAGGGAAACAATACATAAAAGAAAATAAAGTGTGGAAATACTAGTTTCATTCCCTATTAAAGCTGGAAAAAAGGAGGATTTTAAAATAAAGATATACTACTGAATTGTAGTCATTTAGATATTGCCAGTGTATGCTAAGATTAGCAGGTAGGAGAAATCAGAGGAGACATGTATATTGGCTGTGCACGACTTTCTGTAAAGTGATGTATTCTAGCTTTACTGAACAAAAGAATATGCTTCTTTTGGATACAAACCACTTTAAATCAATGGCTGTGTACTTTATCATATAAAAGAAGATATAAAGTTAATGAAGCACAGGCGTTTATTGTATTTGCCAAAGAATTTTATGTAACTATACAGTCTATGATAAACTTTCTTCTACATTTAGTATTTACGGATTGTGACTCCTACAGTATCTGCTGTATACTGTGGGGGACCAATAATACATGATTAATACAATGGCATCAATTAACAAAATGATAGTAGCACAACAAAATGAAATTATATTTATAATCCATGTACTTAACTAAAAGCTTTATATTTCTGTCCATTTGTGAAACACCTAAAGCTCCTATGAATATTCAGCTTATTTTCAAAACCGTAGAATACAGAGACATTAACCATAAACACAGATTCCTTAAAATATTACCAATAGCACATACTGACTACATTCTTAAACAATTTTTTAAGATGATAGAAGGCTTAAAGCCAAAGCTCTCTTGATCACTGCTACTAAATGAGCTGTGTGAAATTGCAGAAAAGTACTGTCTCTGCCTTAGTTTTCTGAGCTTTTGACTATCAGCACCTGCTTATCTGTTATTACTGAAACAATTACATGGGAAAAAATTGAACTCAAATGTTTCTAGTATTTAGTCCAAAAATTGTAAGAAGAAATCATCACATATATTAATAACAGGCTCACAGTAAAGTCATAAGAATTTGTAAATTTACATATAAAGTACTTTGTGCATTAAAAAGATATTAGTGCATTTTAAGCTTAAAATATGATCAAATGTAGTGGTTTCTAATTTATAGTCACATATTGAAAATGTATTACAAAATCATGATAATACTAAAGGATACTTTATTGTTAAAGACTTCCACTTTTCACATCTGAGAGGTATTTGTCATAGCAAATGGATTTTAGAGTAACTACAGCTTTTGATGGCTACTCTAAATCAATTTCCAAAATATCCAGTATGCAATTATTCTTGTTTTAATAGGATATTTCAAATATCACTTATAACTTATTTGCAATTAATATGAATACACGTATAAGACTCATAATAGAAAATTAATCATACATTTTAAATTATAAATTATTTCCTAAAATACCCATGATAATATGTTGTTATCTCAAAAGGAATATTTTTACTTTTAACTGGAAAGAGTTTTTCCTTTAAAGTCTGGATAACTAATATCATTAATTTTTATTACAAAGAAACATAACAATAAAGTATGAACTAATTTATATACAACTACATGGGAATTTACAGTCACAATCCATATTTTAAAAACATATCAATTGTTTTTACACGTTTGTCATTTTTTTCTGTTCATTACATAATGACTATCTAGTAAATACATGTAACTAAAAAGGATATGCTTTTTTTTGTCTTTTTTAAATTTACTATAAGGATATAACAAAGAATTTACAACAAAATAAATGCTTGCTTTAGGTAAGTAAATTAAATAAGCCTTTGCTTCTATGTTCTACTTCCTGACAAGATTTAATCAGCCTTATAATCCATTTAAATATTTATCATAAAACCACAAGAGAAAAACTTGTTTTCTAAAATAAAATGAAAAAGTTGGAACAATCAAATACAGTAAATCTAGCAAAAAAAAATGTCATTTATTATAGCAGATGAGATCCACACTTCATCGGGAGATGAGACACCCTTCAAATAAATGTTCATTAAATACTTAATATTTAAAGAATCCTCTTCCATTCAGTTAGAGTATGTTTATTCCTAATATCTATAACAATATGAAGAATGTAAGATTTCATATTCAATATTTCCAAAGTATTTAAGAAACTTATTACATTAAAAGTACATGTAAAGTATCAGTTAATATTCTGTCACTTTAATATAAAAGTTGCAGAAGAGGTAACAAAACTATTCTGAAAACCATCTGGCTTGTTAAATATTAGCTAGTACAGGATAAAGCTATGAAAGTCATAAAAAGCGCTGAATAACTTTTAGTTATACTGAATAACCTGTAGTGAACCTGAAATACTAAATATTCAAGCCTCTTTATGCTAAACACTTATCCTTAACAATGTTTATAAAATATATTTCATATAAAAAGCAGAAAAGGGTCTTGTTCCACAAGATTACGAGGCATATTAAAAACAAAAAGTAAGTTTCTTAGGTTGTTAAGAATATTAAAATTAGAACCCAAGCTTCCTTTTTTCCTGGACTGGAACAGCCAATATAACATATGATTGTAAACATTTCCTAATTGCTCAATGACAATTCACTTAGCTGTCTTATAAGTATCATAATACCGAGTCTCTCAAATATAATAATTATTCCATTCTTATTCAGGATTGGCATGATAAACATACAAAAGCAAGAATCTTAAGGAAAAGCGGGATCTTTTTAAACAAACTGCCTGGCATTGGAGAAATGTAATATTATCTCATTCTGCTTTCTGTAATTGTAAACATAGCCAAGTTGGAACTCAGACCAAATTTAGCCCTTAAATACATCTAGAATGAATGAGTAGTAACGCATCAAACAAGGTTCTATCCCATTTAGCCTTAATATAGACACTCAAAATTTAATTTCTCATTATAGTGTTTAACTAAATGAATATTTTTTATACTTACTGAATAAGGAGGGGTAGGCAGTGAAATTTTAGAAATAAGCTTTAATATATGCCCGTTTCTTTTATGAATAAAATGGAAAATAGAAGTATTAACAATTACTGAGTTATTTTCATCCAAATGTTCACAAAGAGGAAAAGGATGTGGTAAAGGCACGCGAGATTCAACCTCATAAATGTCTTCATCTTGCTCTTCTAACCACGAGCCACTGACTTTGACAGTTGCCAAATAGGTGCTATAAGAATCCATCCCAGAAGATACAGCTGCCGAGATTCCTAATTTGCTTTATCAATTTTCTAATACATTAAAAAGTTCTTTTTAGTTTATCAAGATCTACCATAGCAGTATAAAAAGTTTCTTTTTTAGCACTATCAAATAAATGTTATAAAATTAATTCATACAACTGCACAATAAAAGGAAGGGGAAAGTCCAGGAAAAAAACTACAAATCTAAAAAAACTTAGGTCTCTATCAATCTTGATGCCCCCTCAAAAAAACCCAAACCAAAACAAAAACCAAAAAAAATCAAAAAACAAAAATAAAAGCAAGCAAACAAAAACACCTTTTAAACTAGCATAATTAAGTCCTTGAAGAGAAGAATAAAAATATAAACATCTAATTAGACGAGCAATAAAACTGCTTTTAATATCAGCGATGTCTGTAGTAATAAGTAAGCCTTCAAAGCAGAACCTGGCAGGGAAGGTCAAGTTTGAAATCTCCATAGCAGCAGTCTTGAGAAATGCAGTTGTAACATTATTTCTCTTGCTCTTGCTGCTTCACTCTATTCAAAAGGAAAAGCTCTTCTGAACTGAGCTATTCAAATAGCCTCTCATGCTGAGCCAAAGGATTCTAGTCAGTGTCCCCTGAGGAAAAGGTCAGAACAGAGGGTGTGGTTTAATGTCTTTACCTATAGGTACACTGACAGGTGGAATGTGAATTAATATGCCCACAAAAAAGCCTGCCAGACAGGATCCAAGTTCCACGTCAGGGCTTTGAAAGGGCATTTAGACAAGTTTATAATGTTTGTAAGATAAGCTGGTGTTTTTCCGTTCCATTAAAAAATTGCTTTAATTTAAAAATGTGAAATTAATTATGCTTGAGTCCACATTAGTAATAAGTTATTCAAGTATATAAAATAATCAAAGTTATTTCTGGAAAATTAAAACTTACTTTTGCTATTTCCTTAGAAATATTACTCATCTTTCAAGCAGCCACTAAAACTATAGACATTTCAGTTATAACCTATTTTCATATTGTTTACAGAGTACATGCTAAGGAAAAAATTCTTTTTAAAGCTACACTGTATGTAACAGTTGAAAACTATACCACTTAAGGTATCTTATGAACCCTGACTAAACTTTAAAAGCCCAAGTTATATAGAATAGCCTTCTGGGTAGCTCCAGAAACCTGGGCAATAGTGAATAAATAAGCCACTCAGAATTTTAGAAGATAAACAACTTACTTTTTAATATTAAAAGATTTTCAATAATGAAAGTTGTTTTAAAGAAAGGAAAAAACCCTCATTTTGGTATTATTCTTTCCAGTAACTAAATATCCTAAATCCACAAAGCCTTTATTTAAATGGAAAAACCCATGCTAAAGAAGGTAGGTAATACCAACACAAATCCATTCTACAGCTACTCACACTATAAAGTTGTTTAAACCAGTACTCAAACCATTTCACAGTAGGTAGACTAATAATTAGGGCAGAGAAAATGACATTTTCTATAGAAAGCCAGAATCTACAGGGAGATGGCTTGTAGCTGTGGAGGGGCAGTTGCCTCTTACAAGTCTGGACTAGGCAATAAAAATTTTTTGTTTATTAGGGTTTCTTATGCAACCCTCCAGTTAGTCTGTGAAGGTGTCTTAACAAAGCACGTTCACAGATTAACTGGAGGGTTGCATAAGAAACCCTAATAAACACCTATACAAGATAGAGGCCTAATCTTATCACTGCTGCAGCTAAATGTGACTTTAGTGGGGCTTTGGCAGATAGAAGTTGTCAATATCCCAGATGCTCAGCTTTATGAACTGTGGGGACCCATGCTTAGCCTATCAAATACCTCTTAAAACACTCTTTCCCTGCTCCCTCTGCAAACTACAGTTTGTTTTGATAATCTGATATCTAGTTTCTCTTATTTGAAGCAAAAACAAAATCTGTAAGTAAGAAACAACCCTTTATAAACAGTTAACATTTCGGTCAGGATAAGAACTAACTACAAAGATAAGAGAGAAAAATTACTGAGAAAAATGGACTCAAAAAAGTAACAGATAAAGATGATTCAGAATAGGGCAAACAGCCCTCATAACAGTATATTAACTGATGGAGTATTATATTAAATATTAATTCATGTTCAGAAAGATGACCATGAATTAAAATAACTGAAATTATTGTCTATTGTTTCACCCATTTTTGGAAGCATGTAAAACTTGCTTCCATCCATGTAAAACAAAAATCTGTAGGTAAGTAGTTATATTAGGAACACAGGTCAAGGTAAGAAGCTTACACAAAGAAAATAAAGTAAAATTAGGGCAAAAAAGACTCAAAAGAGCAGTATTAAATAAAGATGATTCAGGATAGTGGCATACAGCCCTTGTAACAACAGTAATATTAACTGATGATATATTAATTGATGTTCAGAAAGGTGACTGAATTAGAATAATTCAAATTATATTCTATCTTGCTTCCCCCTCTATTTTAGAAAGCACATAAAACTTCTTGCAATCAAAAATAGTTATAATAAAATGACTTAGAAGAACACACTTTTAATTATCCAGACTAGCTTATTATCGCCAGGTTTCAGATAATCAAGATTTTAATGTATATTTGAAGGCTATTAATTTGCAGCATAGAGTTGTTTCCTAAACAAAATAGCTTTACTTAAATCAAATAATGTCAAACCATTTAACTACCTTTCTTCATAAATTATTTCTTCAAACTGTAAAACACTTTTGTTGCTCTCTTTTGGACTTTGATTTGTTCATCTATTTCTTGAAGTTATTTCACAGAGGGCCTATAACCTGCAAACATTACCCTGACGGAGCCTAGACCAATGCTAAGCATACTGGGGACAATACTTGAAGGCAAAATGTGTTTCAGTATTTTGATTGCAGTTATGTTTCAAACACAACAATGACAAAACAAAATCTTAACTTATACTACTGCTTCATCCTCAGATTCCTTTTTTTGAGAAAATATAGAAGCATGTAGCTTTGATGCTGTAATTCTTAAAAACAAGTATTAGGAAGCCCGTAAAAATTTCTTACAGTAAAAATAATTCCATGGGAATAAATTACATATTCATTAATTTATTCCAAGGCCTAGCAGAATCTCTTGGTAAATAACCTCCTATGGCTCTAAATAATACTTCTGGATTCTGGAAAACTTTAATTGCTGAAAAACTACTCCCAAAGAAGAGAATGGTTTTGATTTCTACCTGATCCAGGAGTTTAGAATCTGTGAAACCACACTCTCAAAGATAACATTTCTGCAGAACCACAAAGAGACTACTGAATAAGGATTGTGTTAAAGAGATTACCTCTCTAAGGGCCTTATGACAGTCTCTTAAGCATTCTTTTTCATACTATCATGAAAGCTACCCCAACCAGTAGGAACCTAACAATAAAGTGAATATAGGCCTGATTGTATGGTAGCCTGTCCAAGCAAAAGAGAGGTAAAACCGTTGTAATAAATGTACTATAATATGGACTTGGACATACCACTGGGCAAGTTACCCCTCAAATCAAATATCTAAAGTAAATAACTCCTATAATACAGGTTATGAAATCACCCAATCAGCCTATAAGGCAGATACTTGTCCAGTGCCCTGATATTCAAAAATTTTGCCAGTGAATAACTCATCTTAAACATCTTAAGCATCAACTCCCAAGTAAACTTTACTTGGTCCCCACCACACTCTAACATGTCAGATGTTGCTCTCTTCTCTGGTCTCAGAGTATCCTGTACAAAGCTATTTTCCTGAATTTCTCTTTCACTGAAAACGCAAAGATATTACAGCATGCCTCCCAGCTGTTTTACATTTTGTTATAATACGTGAAAAAAAAAATGAAGGTTAAAGGGAAGTATACTATTATAAAGTAGAACCAAATAATGACACATTGAAGAGGAAAGTGGAATATAAGTTATTTCACAAAGATATTACACATTATTCTGTGTCAATCTGTTAAAAATATTCATCAGGTTCAAGATAATTTTAGTTATTAATCAATGAGACTATTCTGAAGAAATCAATGGCTTTAAACATCTATCCATGGAAGATTAAAAACTGAGCTGAAATTCATTTAAAAGAAAGTTTTTAAAAACGCCTACTCCCAATGCTGAAAAATATTATTCACTTAAGAAATACTTCATTTTTATAACTTTTTATACCTAATGCCAACAACTAGTTTAACATTTTATATAAAAGATGTTAGTAGAGTGCTTCAAAATTAAGCCAGAGAACAATGTGAACATTGTACTAATAATCCACAGATTAGTGGTTCTCAAACTTTAGTGTGAATCAGAATCATATAAAGGACTTATTAAAAACACAGGTTGCTGGGCCCTCAGTTTCAGTAGGTCTGGGGTGGGGCCTAAGAATTTATATATTGAACACATCACCAGGTGATGCTGATATTGCTGGTTAGGGGCTGCACTTTGAGAAGTCTCTGCCATAGGGTTACTGCTCTACACAAAGCTTTTGTGATCCATTCAGTGATATTTAAATTACCACAATACAGAAGAAGCTAAATAACACAGCGTGGAGTTAGTATTCAACAAATTGGGAAAAATCTGGAAAATGCCATGGTCAGACTCCTACTATACTTCACTACCTGGTCACATAAGCAGACAGCTGCTATGAGCTGTGGTCTTGGCCTGGGGAAATGAATGTTTCAGGAGGAGCCCACATGCTTGACTGTTGGCAGCATTAACAAATTTTGGAGAAGTTTCTCTCTAGTAGCCTGTTAAGAACAAGTAGCCTATTGGAACCACTGACCACTTCTGATTTATTTAACATTTTTCACGTTGCTTATCAAAAGACAAATACTATGTTGCATTAACTAAACTGCTTATAATTTACAATGGTATCAAGTAGTAGCAACAGCATTAACACTGGCTGAGATCCAGGTCAAAAGTACTTAATAGCGGTTAAGAAACAAAAAGTATTAACAGTTGTTTTCATATATGAAAGTACAAATCACAAAAATTAAATACTAATATACCTGAAATAAGCAAAAACCAAAACAAAACAAAAGCAGGATCATGTAGGAATTCAGTATAGAATCATTTATACTATACAACTTTCATACAACCAAAGGGATAATTAAGATGCATATGCATTCAAGCTTTGAAAATGCCAAACAGCTATCCATGAAAATATCAAAATTAGCTCAGTCGAGAGAGTGGGATAGTATATTGTACTTCAAACTCAGTACATATTAGCAATATAAGGAGGTTACCTGACTGCTAGTTTCACTTATGGCTTCTAGGAGTTTTTCAACTGCTGCTTGTAGTCGAGAGCTAATGTTCAGCATAAGTTCTTCATTTTCAGGGTCTATTTCAGTTCCAGCAAAACCACTCCTCACAAGTCGTTGTGACAGCTCTGTTCCTTCCTCAGTTACTTTTGACCACATGTTAATGTCATTTCTTGGCATATCACTTCCAGAATAAGAGGGAATGGATTCATCTGTAACTAGAATAACAGTGTTTTAAAGGCATAAATTAATTATAATAATCATAATTTTTTAAAGTTATAAAACAACATCAAACTAAACTGGAAATCATGGAAATTGTAAGGTCTTTTAAAACAATATTGCAACCAAACAAATAAAATATGCAAATATAGGATATAATATTATTCAATAACCAAGCAAAAGAATGAGAAATGTTATGCTAATAGGAATTTGCAGAAATTGATCATGTGGGTAATTCAGTATTTTTTTCTTTGATAAAAACTTCTAAGATACCTTTCAACAGAAATTTACTACATGTCCACTATGTGGAGTTTGCTAAGTAATAGGGACATATAGGTGACAAGATCTGGCTCCAACCCTTGACGACTTTACAATGTAATGAGGAAACACATAAACAATCACAAGAAAAGAAAGGCATTGTGGAGTAGGCCATTTCAAATTGTACAGAGGGATAGAAATAAGTGCTTGGATTTTTCGGGAGCAGACTGACTTTTGAGCCTACATTGGGAGTACAGGATAGAAATAAGTGCTTGAATTTATCTGGTGATGACTAACTTTTGATCCAACACTGGGCAATATCATCTGCTTTGGCTACACAGTAAAAGGAACTGAGATCATTTTGTTGCTTGCTACTGTTTTAAGAGGAATACTGGGATAAGATTAGACTGATGAGCAGGTCTAATTTAACTTTGGACATTGTTATCCACATTACCCACACTATTCTTATTTCTTATGTTAAAAAAAAATGAGTTTGCATGGGTAGAAGATAAGCTTTCCAAGTATTTTCTCTAAGCTATAATAAAAGCATAGGCTATTCACCACTGCCATTAAATACTCCTTTGTGGCAGATGTTACAACTCAACAGTGAAGTTTCCTGAAGAGGCATTACCTATTCTTTTATTACATGTAGTACATATTTGTTATCAGTAACTGTACAAAGTTAACCAATTAAAGCAGAGGAAATCTTCATGTACCAAGTGCTTGGAATAAGCATTCAGTTTGACACATTCACTCAAAATAAGAGCTACTTATTAGAACTTGTCTTGCTAAAGTAGCTGGTGCCACATTTTCTTAATCTATGTAGTAATGACATCAGATACAGCTTCAGACGCAAGACCTGAATTCAGCACAATTCAATATTCACTAAGCATGTCCTCTTTGTAAGTCACTGGCTGTAGAGCCCAAAATTGCATTTTAAGGCATGATTTTAAATGTTTCCCATTATATACAGGTTTATCTAATTCTTAAGGTAACAGTAAATACAACTTTCACTTTGTATCCTTATTCTCCAAAGTAAAAAACACATCAGCTACACTGGTACTTATTTATATTACTCCATGTGCTCAAAATTGAATGCCTTGAAAACATTTAGAAGTGCAAGATAATCTTGGAATTTACAGCATCTTTATGTGAGAAATTAAATGCATTCTAGTAACATTTTCTTTCTCATGGGTACAGAAATGTGACGCAAAGGGAACAGTGTGATACGATGGGAACTCTAGGCTTTTTAGGGCAAAGGGACATGGAGAAATAGTGGTGAGGTAGGTGAGAGAGCTAAAAGAAGGTAGCTGGAAAGTAAGCTGGATTCAAGTTGTAAATGGTCTTAAATTTTATAGGAACCTTAGGGGTTTTGCTATAAACAAATGGAAAGAGTAAATCATATTTTGAATAAGAAGATAATATCAAATATGTGCATCAGGAAGCAAATTGTAGCAATGCAGAGGTAAGTTAAAGGAGAAAAAATTGAGAAAGCACAGGTTGGAGAAGACAATGTAGAAGAAGACAAGGAAAGAAGATATGCGTAAGATGACTCTGGGCTTCCAGCTTAGATGATTCTTAGGTGACAGAGAAATCATTAAGAAAAATACTAAAAAATCAGGAAAAAGTATACAGAGTAGGGATGAAAAATGATTAGTCTGAAGTGTTAATGGGATTTGTGAAGATGAGTCAACTGTTGGAATTTTGGGTCTGCAATGACTTAGGAGTCATTTGTAGAAAGGTGAGAGTTGAAACCTTGGAAGTAGATACATTTGTCCTAGGAGTAATACTCAGTGAGAGAAGGAAGACAAAGTTGAAGTCTCTGTATATCATAATCTAACAAAAGAACCTGTGTTAAAAAATATCAGAGAGAGGCAGGAGAGAGATGTTCCAACAGACAAAAAGAGACGGCTTCAAGACACTTTAGTAATGTTATTTGTCTAGAAAGACAAACAAGACAACGACTGGGAAGATGCTATGGAGACTCCTGTGTTTACCAGCCTTGATTTCTATTCCTGCAGTACCAAAGCTGCTCTCTCAGAGGACAACACTGACCTCCCAGTTGTCAAATCAGCTGGGCACGGTGGCTCATGCCTGTAATCCCAGCACTTTGGGAGGCCGAGGCAGGTGGATCACGAGGTCAGGAGTTCAAGACCAGCCTGGCTAATATGGTGAAACTCCATCTCTACTAAAAAATACAAAAATACAAAAAAAAAAATTACAAAAATACAAAAATTAGCTGGCCATGGTGGCACGTGCCTGTAGTTCCAGCTACTTGGGAGGCTGAGGCAGGAGGATCACTGGAATCCAGGAGGTGGAGGTTGCAGTGAGCCAAGATTGCACTACTGCACTCCCGCCTGGGCGATAGAGCAAAACTCCGTCTCAAAAAAAAAAAAAAAAAAAGTTTGCTGAAATTTACCTTGAGCAGGGAACAAAGGTGAGAAAATTCAACACTTCTTAAATTTTTAAGGCAGTATGAAGACAGTCTAATGTTTTGGGCTATAGAGAAGGAATCAACATGAGGAAAAGATTGAAGGTATGGTGTATTAGATGGGAGCAAATCTCAAGCACAAAATAAAGAGGGTGCGTGAAAGTGACTTATAAAAGGCCTCTGGCTTTTTTAAGCCAAATGGCTAATTTTTAAAAATAGACATTAAAGTACCTAGAAAAGGCAAAGACGTCACCTAGCTTAAGGTATTTTCTTAATAACATTTTGAAAGTATAAACAATCTGAAATAATCTGAATATGTTCCAAGAAAAAACCAAATTTAAAAAAATCCTATAAAATAGAAATATGAGAAAGACATCAAGCTTAAACTTTATTTATTTATTTATTTTATTATTATTATTTTTTTTGAGATGGAGTCTCACTCTGTCGCCCAGGCTGGAGTGCAGTAGCTGGATCTCCGCTCACTGAAAGCTCCGCCTCCGGGGTTCACGTCATTCTCTTGCCTTAGCCTCCCAAGTAGCTGGGACTACAGGCGCCCACCACCACGCCTGGCTAATTTTTTGTATTTTTAGTAGAGATGGGGTTTCACCATGTTAGCCAGGACGGTCTCGATCTCCTGACCGTGTGATCCACCCACCTCAGCCTCCCAAAGTGCTGCGATTACAGGTGTGAGCCACTGTGCCTGGCCCTAAACTTTATTTTTAATAACCAGTCTTGGAGGGAAAAATTCAGAGGATAATATAGATTAGCAGGGGAACTTCACAAGATGCCAATAATAATCTTAGAACATCCAGTTTGGTAAATAGAATCATTTCAAATTGGTGAACCTCTTGGATTTATGTCTTAAAACATAGTAAATGATGGTTATTCAAGTCCTTTAGTTATTAACTTTATGGATTATATCATGTTCATTCCCTGACAGGTAACGATAAACTCCTCAGGTTTAAGTGGGATAGGCAATGTGATAAAGCCTTCTCTGCCCCAAAGGCTCTCTGAATCTCTAATGGCTCCAATGGAAACCACTAGGCTTTAGTCTGACCCTGGATCTGACAGTTGAGAAAACTGTACTGAAGCCCTGGGAGACTTAAGAGGTTTGCCCAATATCACAATGAACTAGAAAAAAAGAAAACAAGGCCTTCTGATTAGTGCAGTGGTGTGATCTCGGCTCACTGCAACCTCCACCTCCTGGGTTCAAGCATTCTCTTGCTTCAGCCTCACGAATAGCTGGGATTACAGGTATGTGCCGCCACACCTGGCTAATTTTCATATTTTTAGTAGAGACGGGGTTTCACCATGTTGGCCAGGCTGGTCTTGAACTCCTGACTTCAGGTGATCTGCCCGCCTTGGCCTCCCAAAGTGTTGGGATTACAGGCATGAGCCATGACTCTCAGCCCCTAGCATTCCTTCTATAAGACAGCATTTCTCCAAAAGGAGGCAGCAGCAGACAAGATTCCATCCCTGGCCTCCTATGGGAGAGGTGAGCATAAAACCACTGAATCATCACAGTGAAGACCTAAAGGAAATTTTTTTTTCAACACAACCTGGGGAATTCATTTTTATGAACTGATCTAATATTCATTCAGGTTTAAGTGATTTTATGTTAGCTCAAAATTTCCCTTCAATTTCATAAACTAGGTTACTCTTATGAGGAAGCAAATATTAGCAACTTTATTCTTTACTTTTTGAGTGTTAACAAGTCCATACATGTTTAAAATCGAAACAAGTTCAGACCTGAAGGCTGAAAACACATCAGAAGTGTTACAACAAAAAGTCATATATGAAAACTGAAAAGCAAAAGTTGCTTCGCAATTAGACTGGTTTAATTTTTTTGTTATACTAAAAAACATAAAACTGTCAAAAGTTTTTCATTTTTAAAAATAATGCTCCCATTATATTTATGAAGGAATGTCAGAAAAAATTCTTACATATGGAACACAGTGTTAATATTTTAAAGCCAGTATTTTCTTTCAGGTTTATATAAAAATTAAAAATTTTAAATTATAAATTCTATTAACTCAATATATCCTTAAAGATGCAAGATGGATCCATTAACTGTCCCCCAGTAATATTAGTGGTTGCTCCAATTTTATTAGTAAGATGATCACACTGCTGCTAAACATAAAAACAGTAAGATGGAGTTAACTAAATGGAAAGTAAATGTAACCAATGATACTAATCCTAGCAAAATTATCTCTGCTACAATATTCTATACACTATATTTCTTAACTGTGGATTTAGCTTTTTCTCTTATCTCAATATTATTCTTTCAGAATCGGTCAACAGTTAAATAACTAAAATTTTAAAGGTTTTAGTTGATTCAAATATACGTAGTGGTTTTAGGCAAAATATTAAATATTATGACTCTATTTTGCTTTGAATCAGAATAGCAATGACTTCTTCATTAGACTATGAATTGCTGTAAAGCTGAGAGCATAGAGAAATAGCTCAGTAAATGTCTGCAGAATTAAACTCATAAAATTGCTTATAATTGAAAACTATGGTCAGTCGCAGTGGCTCACGCCTGTAATTCTAGCACTTTGGGAGGCCGAGGTTGGTGGATCACTTGAGGTCAGGAGTTCGAAACCAGCCTGGCTAACATAGTGAAACCCTGTCTCTACTAAAAATACAAAAATATTAGCCAGGCATGGTGGCAGGCACCTGTAATCCCAGCTACTTGGGAGGCTGCAGCAGGAGAATGGCTTGAACCCAGGAGGTGGAGGTTGCAGTAAGCAGAGATTGCGCCACTGCTCTCCAGCCTAGGTGACAGAGCGAGACTCAAAAGGAAAAAAAAAAGGAAAGAAAACCATTACTGTATCTTAAAATAGGATATACATATTTCATGTGTGTTGGAAGATTTAGATACACTTATGCAAGAAAATAGGCTAGTGGATCAGAAGTCTTTTTAGGTCTGCTTTCTCATGGAAAATGAACATAAATATAATCCTCTGTGCTTGAGTTAAATTATCCATTTATTCCCTTTTATGGAGACAGTGCTCTGGAAGTAAGTTCACTGTCTTTCAAGGTATGTTGTCTGCTGAATACTTTGGCAGCCATGTTGAGAAGTATCTAAGAGAACTGCTAACAACAACAACAAAAGCACAAAATACATCTGTAATGCACAGAACATTCTCAGAGTCTCTTCTGAATATGGCAGTCAACCTGGTCTAGGTCTTACCAGCAGAACAGCAAAATCCCTCCCTAAATGGTTAAGTGAAACAAGCTTGTGAAATAATTGTTTTTTAAAAAGCATAATTTGATAAACACTTTTATCAGACCAAGAAAATGTTACCTAATTCTTCTCTATAAAGATCCATATGCAGAAATAAAATAGCCGTGACTGAGAGCTTAACCAAGAGTGAAGTTAATTTGAAAAATCCTTCCACCAAGTTTGAAAAGAGTGAATTTGAAAGCAAGGTTTAAAATTCAGTATTATTTCAGCTCTTAATTTACTAAAAACAATTTTTAAAACTATCTTTGAACTCAGCTAAGGTGTTTAAAAATCAGTTTTATTTGCAATTCCAAATCAAGCTTTTCTCTGTACCTAGAAACACACTACTGGCCAACTTATAATTAGGCAAACCTTCCATAAATGGGATAATTTCTTTTCATTTCTCCACATGAAATTTAACAAACAGAATTCTCTCAAAAATTACAAAAACTGGCATTTTAGGTCTGCCTCTATGGGAGAAGTGCTTGAGTGTGGAATGGTAGTGAACTGTGGGCTTGATCTTGTGAGCCAGGAGTCCACATCCTATGTTTCTCCATCTCACAAAACTTTTCCCCTCTTTTGATTTCCTCATTTCCCTCTCCTACAAGGAAAAAGAAATTGAAAAAACAAGAGACAATGGAGTTCAGCAATGTGATGGGAAGAAATAGAAAGAAGAGGCCGGGCATGGTGGCTCACGCCTGTAATCCTAGCACTTTGGGAGGCCAAACCAGGGAGATCACCTGAGGTCAGGAATTCAAGACCAGCCTGGCTAACAGGGTAAAATCCTGTCTCTACTAAAAATACAAAAATTAGCTGGGCATGGTGGCATGCACCTGTAGTCCCAGCTAGTTGAGAGGCTGAGGCAGGAGAATTGCTTGAACCCGGGAGACAGAGGTTGCAGTGAGCCCAGACTGCGCCACTGCACTCCAGCCTGGGCGACAGAGCAAGACTCTGTCTCAAAAAAAAAAAAAAAAAAAAAGAAACGGAAAGAAGAGCTGAATCCACACAGCTGAAGGAAGACAGAGTTACGAAGACAGCTCTGGCATATCAGGACCTAATCTCTGGATCCATACACATTGTGTAATATTTCAACTCACTTTTTCAAAAGGAAGAAAGAATCTAGCAAAGGACAGTCCAAAGGTAACACCAAATCTTGGGTTTCTTATCAAGACTTTCTTCTAACCATTTCAACAGGTACATGAAGCTGGTGCTGGGTTCCTAAAAAGTCTTTATTTCTAATCTTTCCTTAATCTATAGGATGGTTTCAGGATGTCATCCATACCTCACAGATACTGGTAAGAGTACTAAGTGCTGATATATAAATTTTCTTTTATCGGTGGAGAAATGTAACAGCATTCTGGTTTATGTAGGCACTGTGGCAACCCTGGGTAAATATAATGACAACTCTATGATACCCACTTGCAAATGCTATACAATAATGGTGTTTGAAAAGAGTTGCTCTAATGTATTTCTGTTTGAAGGTCCATTTGCTGGAAAATACTTATTTTCTCTTCTATATTTTCAACACATGGCAAAATGCCTTGAACTCAGCAGATTTGTTGAAATGATTGTTTCCACAACACAGAAAACTAGTACCTCTTGTATGTTCCTCATGGACACATGACTTTACAGATGCCTCTGCTTCTGACCTCCAAATTAGGCTGGCAGATGACTGGCTTTTACTAGATCTATCTAGAATCCCAAGGACATGGCGACCAATTGTTTCTTCAACAGCTGCTGTTGTCTTTACAACTTCTAAGAGGATCTTCAAAAGTCTATTATTAGCTTTCTGGAGTGCATACCTGTATAGATAAAGAAGCACTGATTAAAATGTTTAATATTTTTGAAGCAAACACTTTGCTTATGTCCACTAAAAAGTACACTGCAAAATATTTGATTTGAAAAATAACAGATGATCCTTTTTATTAAAATACCCAATAGCATCTACAATAAAGTGCTTCTTGTTTTTTATTTGTAACTATATTATAAAATGATTTGTTTTTGTCTGAAAAATTTTGGCCAATTAGCTTAATCATACCATTTTTTAAAATGTACGGTATTTAATTGACTTGAAAAAAATAACTAAAGTCTTAAGCCAGTAACTAGGTTAAGAGAAAATCTTGGGAGACAAAATTTAAGTTTTAAAAAGTATGGTAGTGCCAAAGCATATGCAAGTTATTGAGCTTGCTGCCCATGGTTATACATATGTATTTTGCACATTTAAATCTTTCTATATGTTAAACATAAAAACATATTTTGAAACATAATTTTAAAATCACACCAGAAAAAATTATGTGGTAGTATTTGTACAAGTTAATGGTAATGAGCTGAATGTTTAAATTACAAAAAGTAATAGTTAGGCAGCGATGTGTTTTTAAAAAGGTCTGTAATGAAATTTCACTATCTGTCAACACCACAGAGAGTATCATAGGCCGTTTTTATTACATCTGCTCCAGGGACAGAAATTTCTCAAGTTACACTCACCACACTCATTTAAGTCGGCAGAAGAAACCTGTTTTCAACTAGAATGAATTTGGTGTGTCTCTCTTTTTAAAAAGTAATCCTTATTTTAAAAAATTTGGAAAATACTGCTAACCACTCACCAAAAAACCTCAGCAATCACTATTACAATTTTAATGCCTGTATTTCTAGACTTTTCCTCCTGCCTCTCTTATAAATATATACGTATTTTAAAAACAAAAATGAGATCATCCCGAACAAAGTGTTTTTGTACACTCTCTTTTTTGCTTAACATGAACATTCTACCATGCAAAGAAAGCTACTTCCATAAATGGTGATTCAGAAGACTGCCTGATTAATTTTCTTAAAAACTAAACAACTCTCTTGTCCTAGCAACTCAGTTCAACAAAGGCACACTTTATACATGCAGACAAAATAAAAGATTTTCATGGTAAAGGTCTTCTGCCTTAAGACAGTTTTATCTTTTAGCTTCACACTGTAGGAGCTTGCCAAAAATCAGGCTAAAGGATACCTGTTTCACAGGCACATGACATATCTATTTTAAGACAAGATAATAAATGGAGAAGTTTTCCGTTAGTATTTGTCAAGTGAAAGAGACGGTTCTATTTTTGCACCTAGATCAAGTTCTCTGCTTATATAATCAAGAATACTAAAAATAAAACTAAACTAATTTAGTAGGAAGCCAAGGGTTTTATTTCCTTAACTTGTTCTGAGGTTTTGTTTAAGCCCCAAACCCCAGAACTAGAATAATGTGAAAATATTTCTACTTAAGAGAAATGATTAAAATTAATATGGTGGTTAAAAAAAAATACTCATTTTATTGGCACTTACTATAAAAATTCCTAGAAATTAAATACTGCATAGTTTTCAAAATTTACCAATTAGAGATAAATAATATAAAATAAACAAAGTGTTTATTTTATATTGCCGTGGTAACTCTAATTTTCATACACTGTCTTTCTTGTTTGAGTTCCATACTGACTGCGTTCCATACTGATGATCCAATGGGGAAGCCAAAATCTTAGGGGCCAAATTCCTCCATGCAAGCTGAGGAAGGAGGTTAGGAGGACACAAGAGGGTTGACAGTCACAGAAATTGGAAAAGGAGGAAATTAAGAAGTAAATATTAGTTTTAATTTAAAATTAAAGAAATTATTTTCATTTGAACAAAACAAAGTTTAAAATATTGTGCTTAAAGTCTTTAATACTAATGTAGGATAACTATTCTCACTTAATATTTCACATTTTTATATTAACCTCTACAAAATCAAAGTAAGGAAAAGTTTTGCTAACATCAGGTGATTAACAGTTAAGTATGTGATTAATATCCAATCAAAATTTATATAGAAAAGATTTTTTTAAAATGTTATCTATTTAATGATGAAAAACTGAAAATCCTTTACATACTACACATACATGGACATGTTTCATACACAGATGGTATGATGATTTTTAAGACAAAGTATCAATGTACAAGATAAAAATAAGGACAAAGTCTATTACATTGAAACAACCATTTTAATTTACTTTGCACTGAAAAAGTACACATTTTGTATACCTTTCATTAGACAAAATCTCAGGAGGCACATCTTCAGGTTTTCTGTCTAATTCCTTTTCTTTAAATGTTTGTTCTTCAACTTCTCCTTGGTTTTCATTTCCATTCTGTTTAAGTTTGTGTAAAGGAAGAGAGGAGAAGACAGAAAGAAAACCTGTCAACTTGGAAACAGCATGTCATTCTTCTATATTGGTATGAGATAAAATAGAAACCTCTGTGCACAAAATTGATACTGGTTGGTATAATATTTAACTACACTCGAGATTAGTGTTATCAAAAGAGGATAAAACATTCTCGTACACAAATAAAAAATTTTAATGGGTTCAAATTATCCATGCTGTAGTGCAACAATAAAGTTTGTTAGGTTCTCTTTGGTGAAACAATACTTGCTGTTAACAGAATGTCAGATTCAAATTACCTTAAATGAAATGTAAGGCATTTTGACTCCACCTACCTTACACACATGCAGTCACAAATATGTTAAGCTCAGTACCTATAAAAGAATACATCTCATACCAACAACAAAGACAAACAAATCCTACTGAATTGGTGATCCATTGCTCCTAGGTGGGGCAAAGTCCATACTACCTGTGTTTGCGTACTGCTGTTGCGCAGCTCACAACACAGCTTCTCTCTTCCAGCTAAAGACAGCTGCTTTAGTGCTTCCAGCTCCTCTAAAAGCACCCTCTCTCTCTCTGAAACCAGGTTTTCATTATCTATGGAGGATCTCTAAATAAGAAAAAAGGTCATGAAAGAATACTGTTTGTGATAGAGAAAAAGGGTAGAAATATTAAGCAGATTTCTTTTAACCCCCGGGACCAACAGGCCCTGGTTCTACTTATGATTCATATTCCATCGTAAGGGGTTAAAAGTATATACAAAGATCAATGCAAAATTTAAAATATTTTTTAAAAGCCAATTAAGTCTATATATTCAGGAATTTGTGCAGTTCAATTAATTTTTGTCAATTTTGCATTGAAAATTAAGAAGTTTGAATTCACAAAATGCAATGAAGAAAAGCAAAGTTAATTTTTCCAAATAATGTTTTATGCTCAGCTCCCAATTATCTTATTATTTTATGTTTGAAAGAATACTGTTAATAGTTATCTCTAGATATTTATTATCTCTCTTAGCTTCAGTTTTCAAAATTAAATTCAATAAGTTTTCATAAGAACTTCTACATAAATATTTCTTGCTTTTCTGCAATGGTTTTGTGAGTATATTTTATACAGCAGTTGACAAGAATCCAGCTCCCAAATACCAAGAAGTATTTAAATTTAGTCAAGAAAGGGATAAGAATGTTAAATAAATTTGCATTTCTCAAATCAAGAAGAGATGTTTCCCTGGAAAGAGTTTCAGAAGCATACTACTTCCGATTTCCATTCATGATTAAAAAGATGGATTAAAGACAGATAAAGGTAAACCTTCGAGATGCTAATTGGTGGACTCACAAAACTATAAATGAAGATAGTAAAACTGAATGATAGTAACTGCATAATGGAGCACCTCAGCACAATGTTATTTCCAAAATGTCAAAGTGAGTTTGCTATATATGGCTAATGGAATGATTTAAAAGAAAAAAACAAAACCGTGTAGCCACTTTTCCAGTGCTTGAAAAAGGAGTTAAATAAAATGACAGAAAGACAATGCCCACTCCAAGGTTGAGATAGGTGTCCCTAACAAGATCTAAAGCTGCTGTCTTAGTATAGAGTGTGTTCCTGATGCTAAATATATGTAGTTTATTCAGATTTCGGCAAAAAAAAAAAAAAATTATGGCTACATAAAAAATACTGTTGTTTTAATTGGGGATCTGGTTCAAGTTGGTGTTTGGAAAAAAAAATAACTGGGGAGAGAAAGGGGACTACAAGACCCTTACCTGGGCTAATTGTCTATTAAGTCTCTTAATCTCTTCTTGTAGCTGTTCCTGGTCTTCTCGCTGTCTCTCCATTTGCCGCATATGTGCTTGCCTTAACAATTCCGTTGCCTGTTGATGTTCTTGGTATTGTCGTACAAGTTCCTGTCTCATATCTTCCAACTGTTCTTCATTCAACATTAGTTGTCTAGAAGCATCCATGCTTGACACTGAAATCTCATCATGAATCTTTAATAGTAAAAAAAAAAAAAAAAACAATTCAACCATAACACATTTTGTAAAAATCTGTCAGCATTAATATTGTAAACAAATACGAAAGCAATTCTATTCCTTATCCCATAAAGCATGTGATATTTTATTATTAAACAAAAACATAATTTTTAAAATGGTGTTTTTCTTAATTACAACTCTAAAACAACATAAAGCTACTTTATCATTATTTTCCAAAAGCAAAACAGCTATTTATCAATTAGTTTAGACTTAATCTAATTCTAATAGAAAAAAAAGAACTAAGATACTTAAGATTCCTTCTACTCTTAACGAAGCTATAATGCCATTATTCCTCTTGACATTTTATGAAGGGAAAATAATATCCATGGAATATTTATATTTTAAAATTAAATGTATGAAACATGAGAAACTACCCATTTAATTTACACAGTGGTTATCACAGTACTACAGAGAACTACTGATAAAAAATAATTTTCAATACATTTTATTTGAAGATAAAAGCTTTACATTCCAGAGTCTCACACTCATAAGAAGTCAACTCCTTAATATGTTCTACGAGTACATCATTTCCTGGAGGAATGTTACTTATACAAATAATTTTGCTTTGAACAGTTGCTGGTAAATTAAAGAGGTCTTGAAGAACACCTAACAAGTTTTGCATTCCATAAAGAGTTGGCAATTTTATTTTATTTATTTTTGAGAGGGAGTCTTGGTGTCACCCAGGCTGGAGTGCAGTGGCACCACCTTGGCTCACTGCAACCTTCATCTCCCCAGTTCAAGTGATTCCTCTGCCTCAGCCTCCCAAGTAGCTGGGATTACAGGCATGTACTGCCATGCCCAGCTAATTTTTGTATTTTTAGTAGAGAGGGGGTTTTACCATGTTGGCTAAGCTGGTCTCGAACTCCTGACCTCAAGTGATCCACCTGCCTCGGCCTCCCAAAGTGCTGGGATTACAGGCATGAGCCACCACACTCGGCCTGGAGTTGGCAATTTTACTTGAATATTAGTCTGAACAAAACATAACCTATCCTGAATATTAATAAAAAATTTTAATTCAGATAATGTTAAAAGAAGTAGGATTTATTACTTTCTGTTAAAGGCAGTGAACAGTTGAGGTACAGACACAGAATGGATCTTCTATTAATAAATAAGTACATAAATCAAGAATTAGGATATAGATAGTAAAATCTTTTAGTCTTCCTAAATAGGTAGCTATTTCCTTCTAATGTTGTTATATTTAATTAAGCAAATCTTTTATTCACAGATATTACCAAATTGTAGTATAATTAATCTTGAATTGGTTGAAACAGAATTAATGTACGTACAACTTACAATGGGATTTTACCAGGTACAACATCTTTAAGATAAACAAGAATACTATGAACCAGACTTGTTTTATTTGATACTAATATTAAGTCACTTATCCATATATCTTACAATTAATAAAACACATTAACAGTGTGAACTGGCTGGGCACGGTGGCTCATGCCTGTAATCCCAGCACTTTGGGAGGCTGAGGAGGGTAGATCACAAGGTCAAGAGATCGAGACCATCCTGTCCAACATGGTAAAATCCTGTCTCTACTAAAAATACAAAAATTAGCTGGATGTGGTGGCACGCGCATGGAGTCCCAGTTACTCAGGAGGCTGAGGCAGGAGAATCGCCTGAACCTGGGAGATGGAGGTTGCAGTGAGCCGAGATCATGCCACTGCACTCCACCCTGGCGACAGAGTGAGACTCAGCCTCAAAAACAAAACAAAACAAAACAACGTGAGTCATAAGACTGAATTTGATATTTTCCTCCTCCAAACATTAAGCAGCACTATTGCTAATATTTTTAAAGTGAAAGAATTCACAATTTTTAAATAAGTTTTTTATATTCAAGGAGGCATACTTACAGACTGTCTAACTATAAATGTTTTATCTTTGGAGAACATTTCTTCTGAAATAGTCAGCACACAGTCCTTTGATTCTGGTATATCATGGGGATCACTATTTGATAATAAAATTTCCTTTCCATGTTCTCCTAACTCTTTACTAAGTGGTTTAAATTCTTCTTTAAATTTCACATCCACTGTCTCAAAAGTCTGAAAACCAATTTGATCCTGTGATAATTTCATTTCATTAAAATAATGTTGTTCTTGCTGACACACAGCATGTGCTTGCTTTGATGATGCAGTATTTTCTTTTCCCCCAGATATTCTAGACAGTTCAGTTTGTTGAGCAAATGCTATACTCATTGACACAATAACCTAAAGAAATAAAAGCAAACAATAAAGGATTAGATTTAGAAATATCAGCAGGAATTTAAAAAGTAAATTAGTACTCAAAATTGTATAAACAGAAAAAAGCATGGCCTCACGGTTCTAAACAAAAAGAAATCCTATAATAAAGTAATACCGAGATGGATTCTCTTTTTACAATAAATCTAATGTCAAAGTATTTATTTTACTGCCTGCCACTTTAAATAAAAAGTAAAATGTTTTCTTATTATAACAGACATAAATGTTCAGTAAAAATTAGAAAATAAAAGCCCTTATATTTCTCTCTTCCAAGAAAAATCAATGTAAACATTTTAGTGAATACTTTCCCAAATCTTCTTATTCTTCTTTGCAGAGATAGATATGAATAGATACAGATATAATTTTCCTATAAAAACGTGATCATATTCTAATACTGTAACCAGTTTTTGTAGCTTAACTATAGTAAATACCTCTTCAAGTTAAGAAATAGAAATACATTTCTATGTAATTTCCAATGGGTTCAAAGTTTCATATTACATAGATGTAGTATAAGTTTATTAAATCAATTCTCTATATTGGACATTTAGAGTGATTCCAGTCTTTTACTATTTTAAACACCAGTGTGATGAAATATTTGTAATTATATAATTGTGCATATCTTTTCTTATTTCCTCAAAACAAATTCCCAGAAGCGGAACACTTAGTTTGTATGACTGGTAAATATGAGTAGACATTTCATTATAATCCAATTTGACCTTTCACTACAACTATGATCCTGAATCCCTGCTTATTCTAGCCTCCCATCCCACCCCAGCACAGGTACTTAGGAATTCTGACTAGCAGTTTTGGCTCTGACAAGTCCCTACACCTTTGAGAACCAACCGTATCAATAACTTTAAGTCCTTTTTCCATAGATAATTTATAATGAAAGAAGGCTGGCTGTAATAAACCCAGAATAAAGTATGCCTGGGATTAGAAATATTTGTATTTACTGATCTGCAGCATTATTTTCCTTGCTGGTCCAGGTCATATAACTGAACTTTAGTTTTAATTTCCTGTCCTGAATGTGATTCACCTATCTGGGGTCCTGATTCCCACCTGGTTCCTGTGCTAGCCTCCTTTGGAGTAATTTGACTCAAAAACACAAAGCAAATAAATCATTGAAGCTGGGGTTCAAAATCCTATAATCTTGCCTAAGCTCACTTTCTAAAAGGTAACATTATACTATTCCACAACTAAATGAATCTGTCTAGAAGTATAATGCTAAAACTGACTTGAGGAATAATTATAATACCAGTAGCCAATGCAGAGAAAATTCAAGTGCTGCAACATTAGGAACCACATCAAAGGTCACATATTTAATAAATATTACGGCAGAAATTTGAATCAAAATGTGTCTATACAGAGCTCAAGCACCTTAAACATTATATGCCATTCTGTTTCTTCCCAGATAATCCTGGTACCATATCTCACCTACCAAATTGGACCTCTGGGTGCCTATGCTAGCTCAGAAAGAACCAGGGTTTGGTAACAACGATGTCATCTGGAACATATACCCATTACGGCAAAATGTCAAAAGACAAAGATAATTAAAAATAATTAACCATAGAATACAACTTAACAAAACATATTTTTAACCTTCTGTAACTAGTGATCAAAACCTTATGACTGAGTTTTGCTTTAATTTCCTGTCTTGAACCTGATCTGCCTCTGTCTCTTCATACTGAATATATTAAGAATGTAACATGGAACAAAAGGATTAAAAATATGAAAGAGAAGAACAGAGATATGAAGGATAGAGAATGGTCAACCAACATCTAATTAGAGTTCCAGGAGGATATAATAGAGAACAATGGAAAGGAACTATTTCACGAGATAATGGCTGAGAATATTTACAGAAGATACCACTGCCAAGATTCAAGATGATCAATGAATTATAATAAAAACAAATACCTCATCTCTACAAAAACATTTGTAGCTGGGTGTGGTGAGCTACTCCAGGGACTGAGGTGAGAGGATTGTGTGAGCTCAGGAGTGCAAGGCTACAGTGAGCTATGATCACACCACTGCACTCCAGCCTGGCTGACAGACCCATCTCTTAAAATAAAAAAAATTAAAAAAAAAGGAGAAAAGAGAACACCAAAATCAAAAAGAAGATCTTAAATGTTGCTAAAGAAAAAAGACGTATTACCTACGAGGGAACAACAAAGTGACAAGGACCTTGTCGACAGAAACAAGAAATCAGAAAACACTGGAATGTTACCTTCAAAGTTCTGGCATAAAAATAACTGCTAACCAGGTTCAAACAGTAAACAAAACAAACTTTTATGGATAAAAACACAATAAAGACATAAAATAAAGACAACTAAAAAACATAGTTTACTCCCAATAGATAATCAGTTAAAAAAAAAAAAACTTCTAAAGAATTTTCTTCAAAAAGAAATAAGATTCTAAAAGGATGGCCTAAGATGCAAAAAGGATTAGAGCGTAAACATCCTTTTTAAAAAAAAAATGTGGGTAAATTGAAATACTGATGCTATAAGGCAATAATTGCATCTGAATTGTGGAATAAGAAAACACAAAGACTGTGCTTCCAGGCAACATAAAATAAGCCCACTACAGCCTGCTTCTCCCACTGATTACCTAAAAACTCTGAGCACAATACAAAACAACTAAAGAATTCTGAAGAGTAAACAATGGCTAGGAGACTGCAGAGGGAAGTCAAAACTTAGGTGATTTGTATGGGAAAGAAGAAACAGGATTTTTAGTCTGAACCTAACTGGGTGGACTGCCTATTTTTTTAAAAAATTCACATTCTTCAAAGAATTATAATGACATCCAGAGCATACAAAACACAAAACATTTAATATACAATTCAAAATTAGACAACATAAAATTCGTTGTATGTTGAACTCATTGTCAGCATACCTGTTCTAAAAGAAATGCTAAAGGAAGGTTTTTAGGCTAAAGAAAAATGGCACCAGAGGGAAATCTGAAATTTAAATAACAGCAAAACACATACTCTTTTCAAGTACACATGGAGCTTTCACCCAGAAAAGACCATATTTTGGGCATCAAATTTAAAAGAACTGAAATTATATGAGGTATTTTGCCAGACCACAAAGAAACTTAAAAATTAATTAAGTTAACCATGGGAAGCTATCTGAAAATCATAAAAATGTGGAAATCAGTACATTTCTAAATAACCCATGAATCAAAGAGGAAGTCACGGGGGAAATAATATATTTGGATTGAATGAAAATTTGCAGAATGCAGCTTTAAACATTGCTTACGAGGAAGCATTGCTATACTTACAAGCTATAATGTTTAAAGCTGTAACGCTATGCTTTCGAGTATAGCATTAAATGCATACATTAGAAAAGAAATTCCTTTTAGAAAAGCAGAAGAAGAGCAAATTAAGTCCAAAGCACGCAGAAAAAGGATATCAAAAAGATATGGGTAGCAATTGAAAATAAAAACAAAAACAATAAAAACAACAATGAAACAAAAAGCTGAATCCTTAATATTATCAATACAATCAATAAACCTCTAGCCAATCTGACAAAAAGGTGAGAAATAGGGATAACACTACAGATGCCACAGACATTAAATGATAAAAGAATACTACAGGCAGGGCATGGTGGCTAACACCTGTAATCCCAGTACTTTGGGAGGCCGAGGTGGGTGGATCACTTGAGGTCAGGAGTTACAGCCAACATGATGAAACCCCATCTCTACTAAAAAAAAAAACCCACAAAAATTAGCTGGGTGTGGTGGTGCGTGCCTGCAATCCCAGCTACTTGAGAGGCTGAGGCAGGAGAATCACTTGAATCCAGAGGCAGAGGTTGCAGTGAGCTGAGATTGTGCCACTGCACTCCAGCCTGGCGACAAGAGTGAAACTCCATCTCAAAAAAAAAAAAAAAAAAAAATATATATATATATATATAGATATATACACTACAATACAACTCTACCTATATAAATTCACCGGAAGTGTGAGCCCTTGCTGTCTTTCCCTGATTTCTTCCTCCTGTATCCAGTTACATCTGCAGAAAAGACAAATCTGTGCCAGGATTTCACAATATTTCACCATGAATATGGGAGTTGCAGGATTAAACTGAATTGTCCTCCAACTCACCAGAGGTAGCAGCTGGGCAAGCAGCCTCCACAAACTCTAGTCAAGTCTCCTGACCGTGTCTTAAAGACACCTGTTAGAGTAATTTTTGACCTTTCTTTTTCTCTTGCTCTCTTGACTTTCCCTTTCATATTTCTTTAAAAGGTCCTCAACCTGATATCTTCCTGATTCACTCCCTCACTTCCTTTAGGATTTTCCTCTAATGTCACTTCATAAGTCAGGCCTTCCATGACAACCCTATATAAAATAACACCATCTCACTCCCCATGGATTTTCCTAGTCCTGCTTTTTTTCTTCATAGTACTTATCATCATCTGTATGTTGTCTATCTGTACCAACTGGAATGTAAGGTCTATGGAAACAAAGATTTCATCCTCTTTTATTCTCTGTTATACTTCAGCACCCAGAACATTGCTTAACAGTGAAATGTAAATGAATGTCTACTTTCAGTAGTATGTGCTCAAATCACAGGAGGACTCTAATATGATATATACTGGAAATCACTACTATTGGGCTTCTTCTATATAGCCTTGTGCTTTTAGAAAAATGATTCTCAGCCAGGCATGGTGGCTCACGCCTGCTATTCCAGCACTTTGGTAGGCCAAGGTGAGTAGATTGCTTGAGATCAGGAGTTCAAGACCAGCCTGGCCAACATGGCAAAACCCTGTCTCTACAAAAAAATTAGCTGGGGTGGTGGTGCACACCTGTAGTACCAGCTACTTGGGAGGCTCAGGTGGGAGGATGGCTTGAGCCCAGGAGTTGGAGGTTGCGGTGAGCAGAGATTGCGCCACTGTACTCCAGCCTGGGCGACAGAGCCAGACCCTGTCTCAAAAAAAAAAAAAAAAAAAAAGAAAAGAAAAGAAAAGAAAAATGGCTCTCAGTCTTCTTCTATCATATCTGAGGGGTACAGAGTACAGCATAATCCCATCGGTACTGGTGACTAATATCAACAATCTATATTATTCTAGGACCAAGCTGGGCCATCAAACATAATCTCTTGGACCACAGTATCTTGGCTGCATTTAGAAGAGTCTTTTTTTTTTAAATACTTTAAGTTTTAGGGTACATGTGCACAACGTGCAGGTCTGTTACATCACTGACCAGTACTTTGGTGCTCTGCTATCAGCTTGAGTGAGTAATGCTTTATAAAACATCATCATGTTACCACCATTATCACAGTAATGACTACTTTTAAAATAGTATTTATGAGTCTTTACTATGTATCAACTCATTTGCTAAGTGTTCTATATGCATTAGCTCATTGAATCCTTATAAAAATTGCTACTAAGCCAATTTCCTCTTTCAACATATAAAACGCTGAGATTCACAAGTTAAGTAACTTTCCTAAGGTCACAAATCTAGTAAACCAAAAGAACAAGAATTTAAAGGATGGTATATCCAATACCAAACCTCATGTTAATTACTATACCCTGATACACCATTCCATTTGATAAATTTGTGTAAGAGCTACATGCAAGAGAAAATTTGCATTCCTCCAAGAACTAGACATTGAAAGCTATAAAAAAAAAATGATAGTGTTTCACTTTTCACTTTAGGCATAAGTGAATAAGTCCTTATGGCCCAGATATTTCCTTAGGTCTTGACTTCCTCATCGAATTTATGTTTTTCCTAATTCCTTATATATTTCCTTTATATCCTACCAATCAATCCTAACCCTTTAAAATGCACATATTCCATTGGGATTGTTATATTAAGACAGCTGAAATATTATACAAAAAAAGCAAACTCATAATTCAATAGTTCATATATACATATATCTTTTTTTTTTTTTTTTTGAGACGGAGTTTCGCTTTTGTTGGCCAAGCTGGAGTACAATGGTGCGATCTCAGCTCACCACAACCTCTGCCTCCCGGGTTCAAGCAATTCTCCTGCCTCAGCCTCCTGAACAGCTGGGATTACAGACATGCGTCACCACGCCCGGCTAATTTTGTATTTTTAGTAGAGCCAGGGTTTCTCCACGTTGGTCAAGCTGGTCTCAAACTCCTGACCTCAGGTGACCTGCCCGCCTCGGCCTCCCAAAGCGGTGGGATTACAGGCGTGAGCCACTGCACCCGGCCAGTTCCAATATTAAAAGCCAATCAGGTATACACGTTTTGAAAAGGAATACAAAGACAAAACAAATGGAACCATAATGTTACACTAGGGTATATGGCTAATATTAAAGAATGACTCTGGACACAGTGGATAAGCATACAGAGATGAGCAAAACTCACATTGATAAACTCCTTCACTTAGCCAGGAGCTAATTAATACTCAGTGATAATCCTCCCTTAGTATCTGTAGTCATTACCTAACAAAACTTCTCTGATTGGAAATAGATACAGATAATATATACAGAGGACCAACCACTTTCTCTTTCTTTTCCTATCTTCTTCCCAACTTTTAAGGAAGACCAAACTTCTTCACAAGGCAACAAATACATAGACTTGTTTTGGCATTCTGAAAAGCTTCTAATTACTAGTCTACATCAAGAACAATGCTCTTCTCAAATAAAAATTCACAAGATATTTTGTTTAAAGGCAACTATAATTGATATTATCCAATCACTTAAAGATGAACTATATATGAAACTTATAAAGTACATACCATCGATAAAATCTATGTTCTTTTTGAAGGCTCAAAGGGAATATAAACCAAGATAATCTTCCAGATAAGCTATAAGCCTACCTTAGCTACTTCTTCTTCTAATTGTTCTTGGTATTGTTTTTCAAGCAACTTAACGATATTTGTTTCCTCTTTCACTCCAAATTCACCAGAAAACTACATTTAAAAGCAAAATATGACATTTATTTACATTAATTATACACCACTTATTTTTAAACTTCTACCTCAAAATCTCCCCAAAGTATCAGTATTTTTAGAAAAGTTCTACATACTTTCAGCAAAAAATAAATTTTAATTCTCTCAATTAAAAATAATTCTAGTAAATAATTCTACCAAATAATTATACTCACTACCGTGAACTTAAAGATGCAAAGAGAAATATGTTTACATATTTATAAATGCCAACATACAGTTCTAGAGTGGGAAAAGGATACTTAAATATAACTAATAAAATATATATGTGTGTACAGATTTCCTTTTAAGTAAAATGTTAAACAGTGGCTATCTTTGCTCATAAACTTACAAGCAAATTTTGTTTTCTTCTTGGTATTTATTAATACTATCTAACTTTCTACAAATACAAATTACTTTTATCAATAGAAAAAACCATAAACTTTTAAAAAACATAAATATGTTCTCAGTATGAAAGTATTTCTTTATTTACCAATCATCATGACATGGGATGAGTATAGCAGAATCAAGGATGTGTCTAACATCTTTCCTCTGTATACTGAGCGAGGAAGAACGATGATCTTACTTTTTTCTAAGACTTAAGAGCTAAAAATCTACTGAGTGAAGACCAGGGTTTGGCAGTTGCCAGTTTGAGAAAGTTGCAGGTGTGAGAAATTTAGAATAATACAATGTTGAGCAGAGGCAGGGGGTGGTTTAGTTAGATGGCATGCACTTTAAAAGATGTGGAACTTTTTTATATACCATACGGACCTTATTGGAATAGGCCTAATTCTATTATCCCAGCCCTATTGTCTTGGATTCTGGGGATTCCTAAACCCTTTTTTTTTTTTTTTTTGGCGACAGTCTTGTTCTGTCGCCCAGGCTGGAGTGCAGTGGTGCAATCGCAGCTCACTGCAACCTCTGCCTCCCAGGTTCAAGCGACTCTCCTGCCTCAGCCTCCTGAGCAGCTGGGACTACAGGCGAGTGCCACCACGCTCAGCTAATTTTTTGTATTTTTAGTAGAGATGGGGTTTCACCATGTTAGCCAGGCTGGTCTTGATCTCCTGACCTCGTGATCCACACACCTCGGCCTTCTGAAGTGCTGGGATTACAGGCATGAGCCATCACACCTGGCCCCTAAACACTTTTCTAGAGATGGCCTTGTCCAACTTCCCATGCTGGGAAGACAAAGCTTTGTTGACCAGGGCACTGAAACTAATTTGTACATAGCCCACATGTTACAAAAAACAAGATAAATCTTAAACTATAACATATTTAAGGGAAATATAACCCCCAAACTTAACTTCCTCTGTGTGTTACCTATGCTATAAAAATAGATTAAATTTCTTTACATGTGTATTCTGAGTTTTCTATATAAGGCATTATCCTCATATTTATTATGCTTACTTCTCAGCAACTATTTATTAGATAGTAAACCAGACATAAAAATGATAGAAAAATCAGTGTATATAACAGTTAAAAGATAAAAATTAAAAATATAATACCTCTATTGTACCATCAATATTCTTTTTCACACAACTTCCAGGGTACATTGTTCTCTGTGCATCAGATTCTGTAATTACCACCGAATCAACAGGTAAGCTGAATATAAATAAAAAAGGTTAAAGAATTAGAGTTGTATATGTGCTTTAGTGTTCATGCAAAATCTACACCACACATAAAATGTGTACTGGGGCATGGGAGACAAAAATGAGTCTAGGGTTATAGGTATTGCAAGTTAAATCATATTTTTGACTAATATTTCCACTTAAAAGAACACAATTGAATAACAGTATTTTACCAGGTGATCAACTGAATTTTATGTCATTTTACACTACAAATGTATGATATGGAACCATAAGTACCGACTGTTTTTTTGGAAAGATGGGGTCTCACTACGTTACATAGGTTGATCTCAAACTCCTGGCCTCAAGTGATCCTCCCGCCTCAGCCTCCAAATGTGCTGGGATTACAGGCATGAGCCACTGTGCTTGGCCAGTACTAACATTTTTTTTAAAGTTATCTAAGATATATTAATGACTTTAAAAAAGTTTGTAAAATCTCACTTTTATGAGAAACTTCTTTTAACATACATATGTATATTTGGATACAAAAAGTTTGATTATCTTCCTATGTATACACATCGAAAGTAACAATGTTTACCTCTAGTGGAACTCAGTCAGGAGCAGTGGTGGTAAAGAGAAGAATCTTAATTTACAAATATTCACTTTCGGACTTTTTTGTTTTATCTTTTGGTATTCACATCTGTATTGTGTAGTTTTTACATGATTAAAAATTTTTTTTTTCTTAAAACGCTTAACTTAGGTCATAAAAACTAAGGTAAGATCAGCATTTAGGATCCATGGGAAAAAAAAAAGGAGCAAATTATAATTTTCATTTCTGGCAAATATAATTTTCCATACCCATTTTCATGTGTAACTATGCTGCTTTCTTAGTTTGACCTTCCTCTTGTCCACATAACCTTCTTTCTCCTATTCTTTTCTACCCTAAATTCTGTCCAAAATTGGCCAAAGTTGTCATCATCCCATTTCATAACTTATATAACTAAACCCCTAATGATGGCCATTTGATTACTTCCAACTGTTCACTGTTACAAACAATGCTATAATACAGATCTCCACAAACATATCTTGGCACACTTCCATGGATGTTTCTACATAATAAAATCTTATAAGTAATTGTTAAGCTTAATATTTAATGTTTTAATACAGGGTCATATTCCAAAAAGTTTTATTAATTTTATTCTCATAATAGTATCATTTAAGTATTTTCTTAAAACTTCAGCAATCGGGGGTTATAACAATTGTAAAACTTTGCTAGAACATGTATGTCTTTATTTTTGAGAAGACATTTTCTTTCAAATGTTATTGGCCGTTTAGGTTTTTCCTGCTGTGAACTGCCTTCTCATGTTCTATGACCATCCCATGCTTCTAAAAACTCATTCCCTTGTCTTTCTTCTCTGCCCTTTCCTGCTTTTTCTTTATTACTATTTTGTCTCTGTTTTCCTCATTGTCCCTTGTATATACTGCTCTGATCCTTGGCTTTATGTCCTGGATCTTACTTTCACAGCCTAGAAAATCCTCCTGATTATCTATCCGGTCATTATGATCTAAACTCCAAAAAGTACTACTTAGTCCACAATGACTTCATTCTTTTTTTTTTTTTTTTTTTTTTTTTTTTAGTATTTATTGATCATTCTTGGGTGTTTCTCAGAGAGGGGGATGTGGCAGGGTCATAGGATAATAGTGGAGAGAAGGTCAGCAGATAAACACGTGAACAAAGGTCTCTGGTTTTCCTAGGCAGAGGACCCTGCGGCCTTCCGCAGTGTTTGTGTCCCTGGGTACTTGAGATTAGGGAGTGGTGATGACTCTTAACGAGCATGCTGTCTTCAAGCATCTGTTTAACAAAGCACATCTTGCACCACCCTTAATCCATTTAACCCTGAGTTGACACAGCACATGTTTCAGAGAGCACGGGGTTGGGGGTAAGGTTATAGATTAACAGCATCCCAAGGCAGAAGAATTTTTCTTAGTACAGAACAAAATGGAGTCTCCTATGTCTACTTCTTTCTACACAGACACAGTAACAATCTGATCTCTCTTTCTTTTCCCCATATTTCCCCCTTTTCTTTTCAACAAAACCGCCATCGTCATTATGGCCTGTTCTCAATGGTTGCTGTCTCTTCGGAGCTGTTGGGTACACCTGCAGAAAGGCTGTCACTTCACACTTGGAAGATTGCACAGCGGCCAGGCAGAGGCGCTCCTCACATCCCAGACGGGGCGGCCAGGCAGAGGCGCTCCTCACATCCCAGACGGGGCGGCCAGGCAGAGGCGCTCCTCACATCCCAGACGGGGCGGCCAGGCAGAGGCGCTCCTCACTTCCCAGACGGGGCAGCCGGGCAGAGGTGCTCCTCACCTCCCAGACGGTGCAGCCGGGCAGAGGCGTTCCTCACCTCCCAGACGAAGGGCGGCTGGGCAGAGGGGCTCCTCACCTCCCAGACGATGGGCGGCCGGGCAGAGGCTCTCCTCACTTCCCAGACAGGGCGGCCGGGCAGAGGCGCTCCTCACTTTCCAGACAGGGCGGCCGGGCAGAGGCGCTCCTCACATCCCAGACGAGGCGGCCGGGCAGAGGCGCTCCTCACTTCCTAGACGGGGTGGCGGCCGGGCAGAGGTGCTCCTCACATCCCAGACGGGGCGGCTGGGCAGAAGTGCTCCTCACTTCCCAGACGATGGGCAGCCGGGCAGAGGCGCTCACCTCCCAGACGCGGCAGCCGGGCAGAGGCACTCCTCACTTCCCAGACGGGGCAGCTGGGCAGAGGCGCTCCTCACTTCCTAGATGGGGCGGCCAGGCAGAGATGCTCCTCACTTCCTAGATGGGGTGGCAGCCGGGCAGAGAAGCTCCTCACCTCCCAGACGGGGCGGCCGGGCAGAGACGCTCCTCACATCCCAGACAGGGCAGCCGGGCAGAGGCGCTCCCCACATCCCAGACAATGGGCGGCCGGGCAGAGGCGCTCCCCACATCCCAGACAGGGCGGCCGGGCAGAGGCGCTCCCCACATCCCAGACGATGGGCGGCCAGGCAGAGATGCTCCTCACTTCCTAGACGGCGTGGCGGCCGGGCAGAGGCACTCCTCACTTCCCAGACGGGGCGGCCGGGCAGAGGGGCTCCTCACATCCCAGATGATGGGCGGCCAGGCAGAGATGCTCCTCACTTCCTAGACGGGGTGGTGGCCGGGCAGAGGCTGTAATCTCAGCACTTTGGGAGGCCAAGGCAGGCGGCTGGGAGGTGGAGGTTGTAGCGAGCTGAGATCACGCCACGCACTCCAGCCTGGGCAACATTGAGCACTGAGTGAGCGAGACTCCGTCTGCAATCCCAGCACCTCGGGAGGCCGAGGCGGGCAGATCACTCGAGGTCAGGAGCTGGAGACCAGCCCAGCCAACATGGCGAAACCCCATCTCCACCAAAAACACAAAAACCAGTCAGGCGTGGCGGCGCGTGACTGCAATCCCAGGCACTAGGCAGGCCGAGGCAGGAGAATCACGGGAGCCCGAGGCAGGGAGGTTGCAGCGAGCCGAGATCACGGCAGTACAGTCCAGCCTCGGCAACAGAGGGAGACCGTGGAAAGAGAGAGAAGAGAGAAGAGAGGGAGAGGGAGAGGGAGAGGGAGAGCGACTTCATTCTTTAAGCTTTACAGTATTTGAAAGTGTTTATTACTCCAAACTGAAAAAAACAGTCTGGCGTAAACTTAATTCATTGTTCCCCTCTTGCAATTAAGCTCCTACTATCTGCAACCCCTGTTGATTTTCCTATTTATATGATGTACCTTCATTTTCCATATTCCCTAGGCTCAAGCAACACAGAGTTATCTTTGTTTTTTCCCCTCTGCTTTGTTTCCAACATTCCTTCCATTGCAATGTCTAAATATTCATCCTTCATTTCCATTTTGCTGTTATTACTCTAATAGGCAGTATTACAGATGTGCAGTGAAAAACGCCACAAAGACATGGGTTTAAATTCCAGCATTTTAGTTATATCACTATGTTATATTCCCCAACCATTACCTTCGAAAAATTATTTTGCAAGTAATTATTATTTCAGTGATTACACTGAAGTCCCTGGAAGGAAACAGCCACTTTACATAAACATCTAATTCTACCTCCAGGGTATCTAGCTAAGGCTCTTCTCAGTTACTGTTTCATTTAATCCTCACAATCTTAAGGGTAATTATTATTATCCCTATTACTATTTAGAAATGTTTAAATAATCTGTCCAAGATCATATAGCCAGTAAAAGGTCAAATCAGGGTCAAATGCAGATCCGTCTGACTAAAACCCATGATCTTTCCAACCTTAGTGTTTCTCTTAGAGGTTTCTAGTATGAAATCACCAAATATTTGTTAAAAGAATGATTCAATTATTTTTCTTAACTATTTCAAGTCTACCCACAGGGAACAGTATACTCTATTCAAAATGTGTTACAGTCATGTCCAAAATATGTGATGCTATTTACACAAAATAATTTTGACTCATTACTATTAGTAAGAATGAGGACGGTGGTGAGTAAAACTCTTTTTGGTAGGGGTGCAGGGAGCAAACGAATGATTTTCATTCAAAGGCCTTGTCAACACATTTCCATGGAGTATTATAGAAACTCTGAGAGAGGGTGGTGAGCTTGCAGAAGCCCAAATGCAGGAATAACAATGTAAGCCTATGTTTCCAGAAGCCTCTCTTTTCTTCATGCTTTGGACAGAAAGCATCACTAATTAAAGGAAGACTGCTTGAAATACTGTTTATTAGAAAGTTCTTCCTAATTACCTATTTTGTTTCATATCAGAAAGCAGTGGTTTCCAAATGTCAATCTATGGGTTCCGTGCCTCTGAATTATATTGTTAAAAACACAAATTTCCAAGTTCCATCTCAAAGCTATTGAGTATGACTCTCCAAATTATAATTCAGTGATCTTTCATTGTAAGTAATTAAAAAAATTATATTAAAGTTCAAAAACCTCCACTATTTCTGATGTATGGTCATGTTTAGAAACCACCAATCTCAAAGAAAATGGAAGCTTTATAAGGCTAAAGCAAATAATTCCAAAGCCCATATGTAGGTTTCAAATAAAAAAGAGTAACGACTAGTTCCAAACAAGCAGACATTCAGTATTTCGTCCACTATACAAAAAAACTGTGTTGAGGTTTTACTAGCAAGTGTCTAGGAAGACATCCGCGCTACAATAGCAGAGCCAGCCACAGTTAGAAGAAATCTCTGAGGGTTTTATAGAGCTAGTTATATACTATAGCATACTTCCCAACTAAATTATAAACTGTTCATTCATTAAACAAATAATTTATTGAGTACCTATTATGTGCAGGGAATTATCTTAGGTGTTTGTGATATATCACTGACCTAAATGGAAAAAGAGCCCCACCCTTATAAAGCTTAAAGTCTTTCACCAGAGACGAACAATAAACAAAATAAAAATGAATCTACCCCCTCCAAATTTACACATATTTGGTTATATATATAATATATATATATATACACACACACATAATATATATATATTTTTTAGGCAGAGTCTTGCTCTGTCATCCAGGCTGGAGTGCAGTGGTGCAAATTCAGCTCACTGCAACCTCCGCTTCCTATGTTCAAGTGATTCTCGTGCCTCAGCCTCCTGAGTAGCTGGGATTACAGGTGCATGCCACCATGCCCGGCTAATTTTTATATTTTTAGTAGAGATGGAGGTTTGCCATATTGGCCAGGCTGGTCTCGAACTCCTAACCTCAGGTAATCTGCCTGCCTCAGCTTCCCAAAATGCTGGAATTACAGGCATGAGCCACCACGACCAGCCTAGTTATATATATGATATATATTATATAAAATGTGCATAATGTATACATACATATAAATAGACAATATTAAGTAATATAGAAAAAATAAAGTAGAGAAATAGGAATCAGCATTCTAGGAGACAATTTTAATTTACACAGAATGGTTAAGAAAAGCCTCACGAGAACATGACACTTGAGTAATGATCCAAAGAAGGTGAGGGTGTTGGCCAGGCATGTATCTGGAGGAAGACCATTCTAGGTAGAAGGAACAGCCAATGAGAAGTCCCTAAAGCAGAAGCATACTGATAATGCTTGTTTAAGGACCCCAAGATGCTGTCACCAGTATCTTGGGGTCAGAAGACAGTGACAGACAAGTCAGTAGGAGATTAAAAATCAGAAAAGTAATGGGTACTCATCATGTAGGACAGAAGAGCTTTGGAATGATACAATCTATTTTAAATTTTAAAAGCAAGATTCTGGCACCTGCTTTAACTGTGTTGAGAACAGACTTTAGGGGGGAGTTAGGGTAATCCAGTTGAGACAAAAGGATGGCAGAGACCAGCAAGGTTTTAAGGAGTGGTACAGTTTGGATATATTTTTGAAGGTGGAGAAAATAGGACGTCTTGATAGACTAGAAGAGAGGTATAAGAGAAAGAGGAGTAACGACAGATGGATATAGCTGCAGAAGGAGCAAATTTTGAGAAGAGCCAGAGTTCTACTTTGGACGTGGTGAATTTGAACATGAGACAACAAAGTGGAGGAAACCCTGCCATGACTGGAATGATCCTACCTTATATTCCTTAAGTATTCACCATATCAAAGTAGCAAAGACTAGGTACAGAATAAACTGCAAATATGTGCACACTGCCGATTTAATTAAGCAGATTAACAACAACCAACATCTTTATAATGTAAAAATTTAAGTAAAATTCCTATAATGTCTTTGGTTTACATCAACATTTTTTTCAGGCATTTCAAAGATATAGAATGATCTCTTGCTCTTCTTTCTAAAAAATGCTACATCCTATCTCTTTCCAGCAACTTTGCTTAAGTTACTTTTTTAAATAACCATTCTGGATGATACTATAATTGTTACAAAGCTACAAATACTGTTGAATGAAGCTATAAGCAGATGAATACCTTGGCGGAACCGTGGACTCACTAACAGCTTGAAGCCTCTTCTGTAAACAGTGGATCTCTGCCTCATAGTTTTGTTCAGTTTCTTTCAACTGTTGCTGCAAAGAGGATATGAGGCTTTCTAATTCTTGAACTTGTTCTTCAAGTTTAGTTTTTTCAAGATCTTGCAGAGAAGATAACTTGCTTTTATGATTGACATCTATGTTATATAAAGAGACAAAAAATGCACATTTCAATATAAGTTTCTTAGTGAAATAGCACAATCACTGTGTACAGAAAATATTAATTCTTTTTTGAAAAAGTATGTTTTTAGTGGTAATAACTCTGGTTTCAATTTAAACTCATTCTGATGAAAACAAGAAAACATAAATAGTACAATTCAAGATCATCTTTTTGATCCTCATGCTGTAGTACTCCTAAATCCAAAATTTTATATCTTTAAAATTTAAAACAATTCAGAATCACAGAACATAAGAAGGGGGAAAGGACCAAATAGAAAGTAGTCCAAATCTTTCATTTTAAGGATGAAAAAATTGAGATCAGAGAGGCTACAGTGAAATGCCAAAGGTCACTACGTTAGCTCACATTTTAAAGTAAAAAAGCAAATTACTCAATATTTGCTATAAAAACACCACATTGTGGTATATGATCAAAATTTACCAATGTCTTCCAAATTGGTCATCTGAGAATGGATTGATAAAAACTCTGTTTCCTCTTTTGGAAGGTTTTCTTCTCCAAATTCAAGTTTCATACCATCTGTCTGCTGTCCCCAGATCTATTGAAAACCACAGAATAAAAGCAGTAACATAAATACATAATCCAGCAATTAGAAAGCTGTATTAAAGCAACTCTGCATTTAAGATGCTTTTTTAAAACCACCCAAAATTGTGGCACTCTAATACAAGCATTTTCCCTTCTAAGTTATTCCCTGTTCTCTTCTGTAACAGTAATTAATATTCCATACCTTTCATAGCACTGAAATTATATTAGTAATGTTCTTTGATATCTGAAAGGAAGTTCATTTTACTACAAAAACAAGTGCTTCTGAGAATTTTGGTAGAAAGCTGATAACAATATTTATAGTATACCTTGGTCTTTGAAATTTCAATTCATACATAATAAATTTTATATTAGCAATACTTGATTAATACAGCTTGTTTATCTCTAGATATATCCTATGTACAACCAGGTAACTGACAAATGGTATGGTGCTCTGTACAGTAAACAAAAAGAAAAGAAAATAATGAAAATAGATAAATCTCAGCTTATTTCCTTAACTATTAAAAAGCAGCAAGCCTGTAATCCTAGCACTGTGGGAGGCTGAGATGGCTGGATCACCTAAGGTCAGGAGTTCAGGATCAGCCTGGCCAACATAGTGAAACCCCATCTCTACTAAAAATACAAAAATTAGCCAGGTGTGGTGGCACACACCTGTAATCCCAGTTACTTGAGGGGCTGAGGCGGGTGAATTTCTTGAACCTGGGAAGGGGAAGTTGCAGTGAGCCAAGATTGAGCCATTGCACTCTAGCCTGGGAGACAGAGCAAGACTCTGCCTCAAAAAAATAAGTAAATAAATAAATACATAAAACTAAGCAGCAATATGTCAGATACCTGTGTGTACTAATTTATTTATTCATCAAATACTTAATAATCAATGTGACCAGCACTGTGACAAGAGTAAAAATATAAAATCCGTTTAAAAAATAACAATATATCTGCCTGCACAGAATTCATCAATCAGATGGGAAAATAAACAATTAGAGAACGGCTAAACTATAAAATTTGACTATAACAACAATGATACAGAAGACTGATGTGGATCTGAGTAATTATGGAAGTCAGTTTTGATTTAGGCTCATATATTTCTGGTAATGATTTGGGAAGGCTATAAGGAAGAAAGAGTAAGAGTATTTGTGAAAGAATGACGTATGCCATAATTGACAATGATCTTCTTGAGGAGGGTTTAATTTGGATACGGAGGGGGAAATAAAGCTAGTTAAATAAGATAGATCCAAATAACAGAAGACTTTAAAAGCAAGGGGAAAGACTATGGACTTGCAAGACCAGATGAACAAAGGATACTGTAGAAGCAGCTGAGCAAAAGAAAAAACAGCTATTTGCTAAGAAGGCTGTTTTAACTGTTCACTACTCTTATACATCCTCTACCCAATTCCTACCCCATGAGTAATTTCAACAGAGGATCTTGCCTCTTAGTTCCCAGGGAAAATAAAGATCATCAGGTAAATTATTAAGTTTCCAGTCCAACCTTTCTAACTCATTCAGCAAACATTTATTAAGCCTTTACTGTATGCTAACACTGTGTTAAGAGAAGGAAATAAAAATAAACAGAAGATTCTCTTATTCTGAAGGGTTTAGAATAATAGTGAAAGAGGCAGAATGGTAAACAATTATATAACATGAAAAGTAATGTGATACAAATGCAAATGTGTATAAGGAGCTACAGGAACATGGAAGAAGGACAGAAGGGTAATCAAGTATTTAAAGTAACGAAAAAAGAGAAACGCGATAAGCAAGGCCTGTACTGTTGCTAAGGGAACAGAGGAAGAAATGCCTAAGCCTAGAAAGACAGGTAAAGAAGATGACACAGAGGGAGTAAACATTTGAACCAACTGGAACAAGCAGGAACAAACCAAAAAGGCTGGGAGGGGATGGGCAGTATTATGCAGAAAGGGCAGCATGCAAAGAAGCCCAGGGTGCCAAAGATCAGGGTGCATTTGGGAAACTAAGTATTTCAGTATGGCTGAAATGAGGAGGAATATTAGAAGATGAAGCCAAAAGGTTACACAGTGATGTATTGCAGTCCTGATCCTGATCCCAAAGTAACTCTGAAATGCCTCTGTAATTGCAGCTAATTTACTGCATTCAAATATATATCCTCTTATTACCCCTTGTGCAGAAAAGACATCTACCTGTTTGCTATATTCATCTACCTGTTAAGTAAACGTATTTATCTACATTTCTTTTCTATTTTTTTTTTTGAGATGGAGTCTCACTCTGTTGCCCAGGCTGGAGTGCAGTGGTGCAATCTTGGCTCACTGCAACCTCCACCTTCTGGGTTCAAGCAATTCTCTTGCATCAGCCTCCAGAGTAGCTGGGATTATAGGCCCGTGTCACCACACCCAGCTAATTTTTTTGTATTTTTTTTTAGTAGAGATGGGGTTTCACCATGTTGGCCAGGCTGGTCTCCAAATCCTGACCTCAGGTGATCGGCCCACCTTGGCCAACTAAAGTGCTGGGATTGCAGGTATGAGCCACCATGCCCGGCCTTACATTTCTCTTCTAAACACCTACTAAAATGTTGCCAAGGAAAACTATTTTATATATGCATATGTATATATTATATATATATATGTAAAATAGTATATATGTATATGACATTCCTTAAACTAGTTCATAAATCCCATTAATTTACACATTTCTTCAGTCTAGTGACTTCATTACTTTATTCTCAGTACACAGAACAACCTGGCATTTAATTAGCAAATAATAAATATTGGCTGACCAGTCTGTCCTCAGATCTAAGGAATAAATAAATAAATAAATAAATAAGTAGGTCGGGTGTGGTGGCTCATGCCTGTAATCCCAGCACTTAGGGAGGCCAAGGTGGGCGGATCACAAGGTCAAGAGTTCGAGACCAGCCTGGTCAACATGGTGAAAGCCCTTCTCTATTAAGAATACAAAAATTAGCCGGGTGTGGTGGAGTGTGCCTGTAATCCCAGCTACTCAGGAGGCTGAGGCAGGAGAATCGCTTGAACCTGGGAGGCAGAGGTTGCAGTGAGCCGAGATCACGCCACTGTACTCCAGCCTGGGCAACAGAGTAAGACTCTGTCTTGGAGAAAAAAAAAAAGGAAAGTAAAATAAAAATAAAAATTGTTGACTGTATAACTGAATGAGAACAAAGTATAAATTTTTCTTTCATATTCTTTGTACTCCCTTCAGTGTATATTTCAGTATGGTAGAAGACCAGGAGTGAAAAGAGAAGACTATCTAAGACAATCCCCAAGTTTCTGGTTGAATGTTGTTCCTTTGAAACTGATATGAGAGGAGAAGCTGGTTTAAGCAGCAGTAGTTAATAAATTCAAATTTCAATATGCTGATTGAGATATACCTAAAAGATTTTTGAGTAGAGATATCTGATGAGATATATGACTCTGCAGCTCAGAAGGACTGACCTAAACATAGAGATCTAGAAGCAATGAAAGTAGATGAAAAAAGCATTCAGATTACGAGGATCAAATAAAGATCCCTGGTAATATAAACAGGGTAGGTAAAGTCCAAAATGGAGGCTTGAAAAGCTACAGAAGCTAAGGGAAGAAAATGTTATCAGAAAGCAGCAAATACTACAGTCGAGAAATAATAAAGTAAAAAGAAAACTAGTTCAAGATAGTACACTGAGCATGTGTTTATATCTGAGGTTACAAAGTGAAGGCTTGAACTTTAAATCCAGTCTATAAAAGTGCTCTTTTGGGGACAAAACAGTTTTTGTTGTTGTCTGGCTGCTTTCTGTTTCCCAACCTTAAAACAGAACATTTAGTTTTGAATATTTCTCTGTGTGTGTGTGTGTGTGTGTGTGTGTGTGTGTGTGTGTGTGTGTGTTATATTTTTAGAAATGAGGTCTTGAGCTCTGTTGCCCAGGCAGGAGTACAGTGGCACAATCATAGCTCATGCAGCCTCAAACTCCTAGGTTCAAGTGATCCTCCCACCTCAGCTTCTCAAGTAGCTGGGACGACAGGCATGTACCACCATGCCTGGTTTATACTTCCTAATATTTTTAAAAGAAAAAAAAATCATATAAAATTAATAGATTAAAAGTACTAGCAACACTGGGCCCTGATTCCTACTTAATGGCAACACGATGCACAAGCTGGGCAGCCGCCGCTCCTTTTGGATGAGGCATGTTTTCTCCAGGTTTCACTTGGCCTTCTTCATTTATTTTATTAGCTAAGTTAATGTAGGCATTTACATTTGTGATTACTGACATAAACCTCCTCCCTTTCCATTACTCAATTAAAATGATAAAGAATATTTAAAAGGCATAAATCCATAATGAACAAGAAAATAAGAGATGAAACCAAAAGAGATTCTACTCATATAAATCTACTGGAGTAGGTTTATAGATTTTTGGAAAGGCTAGATAAGGTTGTACTTAATTGCACAGAAACAGAGTAGGCAAGAAGAAACAGGAGGGAAAGAAAGAAGGGGAGAGAGATGGAGAGGAAGAATTTCAGCCAAAACATAAATCATCAACATTATAACTTTCACTATCAATTAAATCTTTCAAATCTGCCTAAACATTTTAATATTAACTGAACATCAAAAAGCACCCCAAATAAATAGACACAGACATCTTTCTGGATTTCCTTCTACATGAGAATTACACTTATCCTTGCCAATATGTGCCTTAAGTTGTTTTACTGATAAGAGTTAATAAATTACACTGTGCCATGTATACTATCTTACCTAGTTTTCTACAGACTTTTAAAAAATTGCTTGAAAATAAAATTGACATGTATAATGCTGTGTGAAACTAATTAGCTATATGCTAAGCAACTAAACTCATTACCAGTTTTCTCTAAAACAGAAGGCCCACTGCTTTAATTTTACATTATATGTAAAATTAAATGCAATTGTTTCACACAGTTTACAAGTTGATATATATATTTTAACTTATCATAATTCTAAAAACTCTCTAAAGGGGTTATTATTCGACTTGCAGAAATTCTTTCAGCTTACCAATATAAATTATCTACTACAAATATATGTCACTTTTCCCAATCTCCTTTTTCATGTTCTCTTACTTTAGAAATTCTTGGTTGATAAAAGCAGCTTACAAAAAAGCAGACAATACAATAAATGCAAATATTACAATATATTTTCCATCTCACAGACCTTGCTTAGTCGTGTTTGAAGTACCAAGAGTTTGTTGTATTCTTCTGTTACTTTGTTGAGAAGAGTGTGCATATTTTCTTGAAAGTCTGGATGGTAAACAAACAATTACAATAATTTCACTTCACAGTAAAAGTCTGCATCTTTCAATAAATATTATTCACCTATTTATAACTTAAAAAAATTGCCTGCTAGAAGTAAACCTCAGATATTTAGTAACTGAAAATTGAAATCTCATTCATGTGAAATGCCTGCTACAAAGATAACTTGAAAATTTCATATTAAAATATGTTAATTTCTTTTGGTAGTCATTAATTTATATACATTTTGTTCATTATACAAATGGACAGGGCTAGGAAACATTTTCTCTGTGAAAGAACATCAAAAAAGTGGTGATGTTACTATTTGTTAAAACAAACTTATAGCAGATCTATATTAAGAAAGATACTAATATATTTTTTATTTCTTAATGTTTATCTTACTCATTTTAAAGCAAAAACCATTGATATGAACTTATTCAATAAATACAATAACTTTAAAAATTTGGATCTATGGTATAAAAAGTTAAAAGAATTAGGATAAGGAAAAAGATAGGAGTAGAGAGACAGAGGACAGACAATAGTGGACAGCTCCAATTATATTCATATCACCATTATCGCATTATAAAAATTTAAAATGTGTATTAAATATGAGATTTCATGAATCTGAAAGGAGGATAAAATGTTAAGATGAAAAACAACTTGGCTGGGTGATTAAATCATAATCAAAAGTAAAAATCTGTCATCAATTAATTTAAGAGGATTAAATACTGTTTAATAGTATGGTAAGCTTTTATTACCTTGAACTTCATATCTATAATCTTGTAATTCTGGATCTTCATTTTCAGAAATGTAATCACCAGAATTCTCTTTGTCTTCTGCATTTACTTCACATTTTAAAGCAGGAGTATAATATTCACCAAGGACACTGCATAAAGTCTGTTAACAACAAAATTGTGTATTTTAAGGAATTTAAATTTTGATTTCTGCTTCTAAAGATTAAACATAATTCTCCTAGATGCAAGGCGGTCAAAATGGCACACAAAAATAATTAAGAAAACATTCTCTCCATACCCTTATCAATCTGCAAAAGAAACAAGTCTAAATCTATCTCTCTGGCATGAAATCTTCTTATATCAGGAAGATAATAAACTTCATTGCACAAAACTATAATTTTTTCTGCTTCCTTATAATAATAAAATTTATCTTATACTTTAATCAACCACTTCCTAGCTTGGATCCTATTTCTGATGTTATCTCTGTAATCTCAAATACCTTTGAAAAAACATCACAGGACAAGGATGGACGTTCAGAAATGCTGATCAGAAAGAAATCTATAAATTCTAAAGAAATCATATCAAGCAAAAGAGTAACATTCATATACTTAACATTCATAACACAAGAGGCCAGGCGTGGTGGCTCATGCCTGTAATCCCAGCACTTTGGGAGGTCGAGGAAGGTGGATCACCTGAGGTCAGGAGTTCAAGACCAGCCTGGCCAACATGGCAAAACCCCATCTCTACTAAAAATACAAAAATTAGCTGGGCGTGGTGGTGTGCATCTGTCATCCCAGCTACTCGGGAGGTGAGGTACAAGAATAGCTTGAACCTAGGAGGCAGAGGTCACAGTGAACCGAGATTGTGCCACTGCACTCCAGCCTGGGCGACAGAGCAAGACTGTCTCAAAAAAAAAAAAAAAAAATTCCTAACACATGAGAATAGTTTTATGTAGTTTATATGCACACACAAAAATTGAAAATATTTGACGCGTTGTTCCGGTTCTTCTCCTGAGCAACAGACACTTCTATCATCATTTAAAACAATACATGTCCCATTATCATTTGATAAGCTCTCAAATAACTTTTACCTTTGTTCCTCATATAACTAAAAAATTACCACCACCAACTTCTAGACTTAAAAATCAAATTGTTTATTGCTATTTCTTCAGATTTCTTGAGATTTGCTTAAACTATACTGTCAATTAATAATTAAGTTTATTAAATTTTCAGCATAGCCCCTAAGATGCAGTTTTCTCACATTAGAGTTGATTTTAGAAACCTTAAACAATCACCCAATTTACAGACAAAGAAACTGGGACCCAGAAAGATGGGTGCCATCTTAGTGTTTTGGCTCACTCTACACCGTCTCCCAGGATGTCTCCATCTTGTCCTTATAACTCATCTATGGCAACATCAACAATTAGTGTCTGTTCTACAGGCGAGATAATTTACCTGAATTTCTTTTGTTTCAAACCGATTATCAGGAAAATTTTTAATGCTCATTTTAAGTTAAAAACTCAGGAATACTTTCTAGGCACAGTTCTGAAGGTAGTGAAGAAAACTAGGCTGGGTGATCATTAAATTAGTAGCAACTTACAATTTAGCACTCCTTGTGTAAAAGTACCTTTTATTTATTTTTTAAAATTTATTATTATTTTTTTGAGACAGAGTCCCACTCTGTTACCCAGGCTGGAGTGCAGTAGCATGATCTCCACTCACTGCAACCTCTGCCTCCCATGCCCAAGCAATTCCAATGCCTCAGTCTCCCAAGTAGCTGGGACTATAGGCACACACCACAATGCCGGACTGATTTTTGTATTTTTTGGTAGAGACGGGGTTTCACCACGTTGGCCAGGCTGGTCTCGAACTCAAGTGATCTGACCACCTCAGCCTCCCAAAGTGCTGGGATTATAAGTGTCAGCCACCACATCTGGCCATAAAAGTACTTTTAAACATTTTACCTGTAAAAAATAAGAACATTCTTCAGACACTGCCTTTTGAAGTTTTCCAATGAGCAGATGTAAAGGCTTTCCTTCATCACCTAATAGAACAGATAATGGATTAAGAAATTCAATTTACATACTTAAGAACTATGATCATATTTAACTTATGTTTCAACTGGAAGCTCCCCTGCAATAAGAATCATTTTAAATTCTTTATTTCTTTGAGTTATTTTCCATTGCTCAACATTGTCTCAGAAACTTTGTGAGATTTTCCATTTCTATCCACAAAATGGTACAAAGCAGTGACTTCTTTTTACTACAACCCAACACAAAAAAATGCATCATATATCATAACCTATTACATACATCTATGTAAAACTGAAATAAAAATCTCAGAAATCAATATTTATTCTTCTACTGTAGTGCCATGTACTCCAATGTCTTCTGTTCTACTTTGTTTTTTTTTTTAAAAATGTTGATCATTACTCACTAAACTGACTTCACCACCCATTAATGGACCTATTCATTAGCCTCTAGTTTGAAAAACACTAGCCTGTTTGAAGAGGACATCATTAAAAATATCACATGCTTAAAATCTTATTAAATTCAAACCCAAAGCACTCCTGAAATTTAAAAGTTTGGTACTGTTATTTAAGCCACTCTCAAATTTCTACTTTTGAATGCAAACTTCTTTTCCATCCTCATTAACATTTAGTTAATACTTACTGTTTATGGAAAGGACAGCTTTAGTTGCTTAACTGGTGTTCTAATCACTACTCTTACCTCCCCCAACTCACCGCAGTGGTGTCATCATAAAATAAAAACCATATTGTGTTACTCTACTTAAAATCCTGCAGTAGGTCTTATCACCAACAGCATAAGGCTTATATATGCTTCTTTCAGAATAAAACTTTTTCTAATCAAACTGTTGCCAATCTCTCCAGCTATAACCCCAACTACTTTCTCACACACCTTGAACTCTCAATTTTCCAAAATGGGTGTACCCTTACACCTCAATTCTAAAGACTCCAGAGCCTGCCTTAAAATTCCAACCCCGGCCGGGCGCGGTGGCTCACGCCTGTAATCCCAGCACTTTGGGAGGCCGAGGCGGGCGGATCACGAGGTCAGGAGATCGAGACCATCCCGGCTAAAACGGTGAAACCCCGTCTCTACTAAAAATACAAAAAATTAGCCGGGCGTAGTGGCGGGCGCCTGTAGTCCCAGCTACTTGGGAGGCTGAGGCAGGAGAATGGCGTGAACCCGGGAGGTGGAGCTTGCAGTGAGCCGAGATCCCGCCACTGCACTCCAGCCTGGGCGACAGAGCGAGACTCCGTCTCAAAAAAAAAAAAAAAAAAAAAAAAAAAAAAAAAAAATTCCAACCCCACCACTGTCTACCACCTCACCCTACTCATCCTGCCAGGAAGTACTAGATGTTTCTCCTTTCTCCTCCCATTCTTTCTATTCATTCTTCTGTTGGAGAAATTGTTTATTTTATATATGCTTTCGCAATGGATTGTGACTTCCTATGGGAAAATGATTTTAGCTTTCTCAAGCACTTAAATGAATGTCTAGTGATTATATCAACAACTGGTAAACAAATCACCTTCCTCTGTGGGTTCTATGACAAGGAAAAAATTATAGAATGGTGGGCTCTATCCAATACTTATTTGGATCATGGTACTTATAAGTCAGAAACCATTTTACCTGTTTCTTGTGTTTTCATAGTCTGTAGTTCTAACTGGTGTATTTTCTGAAGTTCCTTGATCTTTTCCTCTTGAGCAAAAATAAGCTCTTCTTTAAGACTGCAAAGAGCTTTATCTTTTTCATTTTCCATATATTCACGAACCTGATCCACATGAGTTGAATAAACCAGAGAGAGGCAAATGCGTTGGGCTTCCATCTGTAGCCTTAAATCATTCTTAAAGTAAACATATGTAAACATTATAATATTCTTAAATGACAAATCAAATAATTTAACTTCTTTTTTTTGCATATACTGACTACAAGAGTTTAAAAATTCATGAGAACTGAAGTCTAATTTTTTTTCTATCTTCGTGCTGTTGCATTGATCTACCTTTCTTTTTCAAGGAAAGTAGCACAATGTTTTCATTACCTCAGTTTTATACTAAATTGTGATATTTGGTATAGCTAGCATGACTCATCTTTGATTTTTTGTTCTAAAAGATTTTAAACGTACAGACATGGAAATAATGAAGTAATAAACATTTATGTACTCACAACCCAAATTAACAAATACTCACTCTGTCACCCAGGCTGGAGTACAGTGGTGCAATCATGGCTCGCTGCAGCCTTGACCTCCTGGGTTCAAGCGATCCTCCCACCTCAGCTTCCCAAGTAGTTAGGACTACTGGTGCATGCCACCATGCCCAGCTAACTTTTTATTTTTAGGTAAAGATGGGGTCTCACTCTGTTGCCCAGGCTGGCCTGAAACTCCTGGGCTCATGCAATCCTCCCAAAGTGCTGGGATTACAGGTATGAGCCACCGCACCCTGCCTACTACTTGCTTTTATTCACTGTTATGTCACCAGGGACTAAAACAGTGCATAGAATGCAGTAGAGGCTCACTCAGTATTATTAAATAAATGTTGATTTGTAGGGTCTCTTTCCTATATATTAAAATTTCACAAGGATCTCAATGTGTTTCTGGGCTTTCCATTACGCTCCACTGACCTAATTGTCCATCCTAGCATCAAACCATACTGTCTATTATGATTTTGTAGTAAATCTTGCTGTCAGATGCAATACATTTTTCTAGGGTTCTCTTGATTATTCTTGAGTATTTACTTGTCTATATCAATTTTACAATCAGTTTTTCAAGATCCATGAAAAATTTCCTTGTAATTATGACTGGAAGTACACTGAATACTGAGATTAATTTGGAGAGAACTGACATTTTTCTTTACATCTTTCCACTATGAATACGGTACATATTGGCATATAGTGAGGTCTTTACATGCTTCAGTGTTTTATAATTTTCTTGACAAAAGTTCAAAGCATCTTATGTAGGGTTTATTTTGTTATTCATAAATAAGTTTTCATATTCTTTATCTCATTTCTTATTCTTGTCAAATTGCATTGGCTAGGAACTACAAAGCAATGTTGAAATAGTGATGTTGAAAGTGGGTATCCTATACTTGATTCTATACTGGATTTTAATGGGAATGCTTCTATCACATTTTATTCTATACTTGATATTAATGGGAATGCTTCTAAATTTCACTATTAGAAATGTTATCTGCTAAATGTTTTAATGAAAACAATTACTGCGGTTAAGAAATTTCCCTTCTATTCTGGATTTTCTCCATTGAAAAAAAATTATGAGTTATTAGTTTTTTATGGATTCTTTTCCAATATGTATTAAAATGACTATATGGGCTGGACACAGTAACTTGTACTTATAATCCCAGCTGCTCAGGAGGTTCAGGTAGGAGTATTGCTTGAGTCTAGGAATTCAAGACCAGCCTGGGCAACAGAAAGACCCCATCTCTAAAAAAATAATAATAAATTAGCCAGGAGTGGTAATATGTGCCTGTAGTCCCAGCTACTTAGGAGGCTGAGATGAGGAGATTGCCTGAGTCCAGGAGTTCAAGGTTGCAGTGAGCTATAATCATGCCACTGTACTCCAGCCTGGCAAGAGTAAAAACTTGTCTCTAAAAAAATAAAATAAGGCCAGGCATGATGGCTCACTCCTGTAATCCCAGCACTTTGGGAAGCCAATGTGGAATAACTGCTTGAGCCCAGGAGTTTAAGTGCCAGGGTTTGACCTGCAGAGTCAGGCTGCATAACAGATGAATAACGTACTCAGACACCAGTATTCAGTGAAAGAGTGGCTAGGGGGCTGGGCCGCTCACAAAAAAGAATTGCAGTAGTGCACGCCCTGACTAGCTGGCCCTGCGGGCATTTATTCAGCATAGATTTAATGACAAAGGCTTTGAGTCAACACACTTGTGGGTAATTATCTGGTCACCCTCCCCAGAGAGCAGTCCTGCGAATGATCAAAGGTTGGTCTTAGGACCACATGAGTAAACAAGCTCTTTAGATAAACTCCCTTATATTCCTATGTAGCTAAGCCCTAAGCTTTTAAGAGAATTCAGCTGCCTTCAACCAAATCTTTCACTGAAGCTATGCAAACCTCCCGGCCTCCCAAGAAGGTTTGTGTCTATTTCCTATAACTTTATCTTTATCTCCCACCACCCTGACCAATCCCCTACATTTAAGACCAGCCTGGGCAACACAGCGAGATCCTCCTGTCTGTAAAAAAATGTTTTAAAAAATCTTAGCTAGGCATGGTGCTATGTGCCTGTTGTGGTCCCAGCTACTTGGGAGGCTGAATTGGGAGGATCACTTGAGCCTGGGAGGTTGCAGCCATAGTGAAATGTGATTGTCTGACTGCACTCCAGCCTGGGTGACAGAGCAAGACCTCATCTCAAAAACAAAACAAAATAAAAAATAAAATTTATCATATGGATTTTTTTTCCTGCTATCTATGAATGTGAAGTTTACATTAATGGATTTTTCAGATGTTGAACTATTCTTCCATTCTTAGAATAATTTGCTAATATTTTATTTAAGATTTCTACAGCCACTCATAAGTAAGATTCATCTATAATTTTATTTGTTTGTAGTGTTCTTATCAGGTCTTCGTATCAATATTGTACCAGTCTCATTAGATAACTGGGTTTTTCTTTTGTCTAGCTTACCTTTCTTCTTTCCTTCTTTTCTTCCCCCTAGTTCTCTCCCTTTAATCCTATTTTATTAAGCAATTATATATTCGTTGAGAGTTGGTAAGACCCATTTGTGAAATGGTCTCAGTCTAATATTTCTGGTTGGAGGAGAGGAGAGAGGGAAAATCTCTATGATTTCAAATTCTTTAATTGTTATTGGCTTATTCAGGTTTTATATTTCTATTTGAGTTGATTCTGGTAGTTTATATTCTTCCAGAAAACCATCAGTTTATGTCTATTTTCAAATTTGTTGATGGATGTTTATTTATAGTATTCTTTTATGACTTTTATGAATCTCTTTGGTATCTATACGTAGGTTTTGATTTTCATTCATTTGATTTTGTTAGTTTGTTTTAGAGACAGGGTCTCACTCTGTCACCCAGGCTGAAGTACAATGGTGCAATCATAGCTCACTGCAGACATCTGGCTGATTTTTTAATTTTTTGTGGAGACAGGCATCTTGCTATATTGCCCAGGTTGGTCTTGAACTCCTGGGCTCAAGCACTCCTCCTGTCTCAGCCATCCGAAGCACTGGGATTATAGGTGTGAGCAACTGCATCAAGCCTCATTTGGTTTATGTCTTTTTTTCCCGATCATTTTCTTTTTTTTTTTTTTTTTAAATGGAGTCTCGCTCTGTTGCCAGGCTGGAGTGCAGTGGTGTGATTTCAGCTCACTGCAAACTCCACCTCCAGGGTTCAAGCTATTCTCCTGCCTCAGCCTCCAGAGTAGCTGAGACTACAGGTGCACGCTACCATGCCCAGCTAATTTTTCATATTTTTAGTAGAGACAGGGTTTCACCATGTTGGCCAGGATGGTCTTGATCTCCTGACCTCGTGATCTGCCTGCCTCGGCCTCCCAAAGTGCTGGGATTACAGGTGTGAGCCACCGCGCCTGGCCCATATTCTTTGTTTTTTGAGATAGAGTCTCACTTTGTCACCCAGGCTGGAGTGCAGTGATGCGATCTTGGCTCACTGCATTCTCCACCTCCTGGGTTCAAGGGATTCTCCTGCCTCAGCCCCCATGAGTAGCTGGAATTACAGGCGCATGCCACCATGCCTAGCTGATTTTTTGTATTTTTAGTAGAGATGGGGTTTCACTGTGTTAGCCAGGATGGTCTCGATCTCCTGGCCTCGTGATCCACCCACCTCGGCCTACCAAAGTGCTGGGATTACAGGCATGAGCCACCACGCCCGCTGGCCCATATTCTTGAAAGTCTAATACTTTTAGTGTTTTCTTTTCTTTTCTTTTTTTCTGTCGCCTAGGCTGGAGTGCAGTGGCGCGATCTCGGCTCACTGCAACCTCTGCCTCCCGGGTTCAATCAATTCTCCTGCCTCAGCCTCCTGAGTAGCTAGGATTACAGGCACGCGCCCCCATGCCCGGCTAATTTTTTATTTTTGGTAGAGACGGGGTTTCACCATGTTGATCAGGTCAATCTTGAACTCCTGACCTTGTGATCTGTCCACCTCGGCCTCCCAAAGTGCTGGGATTACAGGTGTGAGCCACCACGGCCAGCCACTAGTGTTTTCAAATAATAAACTTTCAAAATCCTTGAAAACTTTTCCTCCTGTTTTGGTTATTCTAACTTTGCTTATTTTGTTCTTAACTTTATTATTTCCTTCTTTTTACTTTTCTTAAGTCTACATGCTCTGATATTCTAGCCTCTAGAACTAACAGCTTAACTTGTTTTCAATATTTATAAAATCAATATATTTAAGGCTAAACATTGTTCAACACATCATGTTAAATGCATTCTGCATTTTTCAAAAATATTCTTGACTGTTCTTGTGCATTTCTTCTTCCAGATAAACTATACACCAATTACTATTCTGCGTTTTTCAAAAATATTATTGACTCTTCTTGTGCATTTCTTCTCCAGATAAACTATAAACCAATTACTAAGTTGAACTTCAGTAACTTTTCATTGTGAGTTGGAATGGAACTACATAAGGATTACAGATTAATCTAGAGATAACCTGGGTTTTTACGATATTCAAATTTTCCCACTCAGAAATGAGACTTTTCATTTATTCAAGCCTCCTATCCTTCATTAAAGTGTTATAATTTTATTTACATTGTTTTATTCATATTTATTTTACATTAAAGATATAAATCACTTGAGGTCAGGAGTTCAAGACCAGCCTGGCCAACATGGTGAAACCCCATCTCTACTAAAAATACAAAAATTTGCCAGGCATGGCGGAGGCCACCTGTAATCCCACCTACTTGATAGGCTGAGTTTGTAGTGAGCTGAGATCCACTCTAGCCTGGGTGACAGAGTGAGACTCTGTCTCAAAAAAAAAAAAAAAAAAAAAAAAAAAAAGAATTTCAGTTCTCATGCTTAATTTTTAATTTAATTATACATGGGAATTATGACAATTAAGTATCTTTTTCTCCATTCATACCATATATCTTTTTGTCTTTGCAATGGTTAGGACCTACACAATAGAAAAGCAAGTGACAAAAGCTATTCTGATCTTCTTCCTGACTCTAACATGAAGGCCTGTGCTATTTCACTGTTGGTTCTTGGTAAGTGGGCTTTATTTATTCCCCCCCTTTTATTCATGAATTCATTCATTCATTTAAAAAAATTATTAACTGCCTATCATGTGTCAGACATTATTCTAGGCATTAGAGATACAGGAGACTGGGTCCCTGTTCTCAAGGAGCTGATATTCTAGTGGTTCCTCCTGTAGTTTCTAAGCTCCGGTATCTCTTTTGATTCTAATAATCATCTTCAATTTTAAACACATACACTTCAATCTATGACCTCTCCCAGCATCAATAATTAATCAGTATCTAAAAAATTCCTGCCACTCTTCCTTCTTCCTTGCATCCCAACACTGAAAAGACTTCTATGATGTTTTTATTTTTCTCCTTCTGCCCAAACTACCTAAGTGTATTAGAGATATCTGTGTGGCATCCACATTATTTCAAGCATATTTAGGCTGCTCTTAGGTGTTACTATTGTGTAAGTCACTGCTCGATTTCTTCTGTGAACTTCCCTTCCCATCAATAAAGGTTTGTCTTGGTAATGATGAACGGGCAGGAAGTTTACAGGCTTTACTTTATGTAGTCAATGTCAAATAGAGGGAATCTGAATGCCATCAAAAGTATCTTTTTAGTATCTCTTTAGTACAGAAAATAGAATTCTGGCTGGTGACAAAGACTCATGCCTGTAATCCCAGCATTTCAGGAGGCCAAGGCAAGAAGATCATTTAAGCCCAGAAGTTTGAGACCAGCCTGGGCAACATGGCAAATCCCTGTCTCTACAAAAAATACAAAAACCTAGCTGGGTGTGTGGTGCATGCCTGTAATACTAGCTACTCAGGAGGCTGAGGTGAGAGGATCACCTGAGTCCAGGAGGTCAAGGCTGCAGGATGCTGTGATTGCGCCATGAGACTCTAGCCTGGACGGCAGTGAGAGCCTGTCTCAAAAAAAAAAGAAAAAGAAAAAGAAAATTAGAATTCCTAATAAGAAAATTTGACCATCTGAGGGTCAAATTCAGGTCTTCTCCCAAAAATGCTTCCTAAAAAATTTTAAAAGATGTGTGACATTTTCACAAGTAACTGCCATACATTTTGGTTTTGAAAACAATTCCAGACATTTAACAGAACATTAACAGTTAAGCAATTTGGCCAGGCATGGTGGCTCACGCCTGTAATCCCAGCACTTTGGGAGGCCGAGGCTGTTGGATCACCTAAGGTCAGGAGTTTGAGACCAAACTGGCCAACATGGTGAAACCTTGTCTCTACTAAAAATACAAAAATTACCCAGGCGTGGTGGTGGTGCATGCCTGTAATCCCAGCTACTCAGGAGGCTGAGGCAGGAGAATTGATTGAACCCGGGAGGCGGAGGTTGTAGTGAGCTGAGATCACGCCACTGCACTCCAGCCCGGGTGACAGAGTGAGACTCGGTCTCAAAAACAAACAAACAAAAAAATCGTTAAGCAATTCGAATTTCTTGACTCTATTTAGGCAAGTAAATATATAAAATATCTCTACATTTGATATAAATCATAAATATAAAATATCTCGACATTTGATATAAGATCATAAATATGATATATTTAGGAATAAAAAGAGAAAACTTTCCAATGGCTTCCAAAGTCTGCAAGATTCTCCAAGGTCTGGTCTCTTCCTCCTTCAAACTCTTCTTCCACTCTCCCGCTCTCTCAAACTCAACTACACAAGCCTTCATTCTGTTCTTTAAACTTACCCGTGTCTTTACAATTGCTCTAATTTCAATGTCATTCAGATTTCAGCTCAAATGTCAATTCCTCCTAGAGATGTTTCCTGACCACCATATTTAATGTTGTTACTACCCTCTCCAACATTCCCAATATCCTGATGAACATCGATGCAAAAATCCTCAATAAAATACTGGCAAACCAAATGCAGCAGCACATCAGAAAGCTCATCCACCATGATCAAGTGGGCTTCATCCCTGGGATGCAAGGCTGGTTCAACATACGCAAATCAGTAAGTGTAATCCAGCATATAAACAGAACCAAAGACAAAAACCACATGATTATCTCAATAGATGCAGAAAAGGCCTTGGACAAAATTCAACAGCACTTCATGCTAAAAACTCTCAATAAATTAGGTACTGATGGGGCATATCTCAAAATAGTAAGAGCTATTTATGACAAACCCACAGCCAATATCATACTGAATGGACAAAAACCGGAAGCATTCCCTTTGAAAACTGGCACAAGACAGGGATGCCCTCTCTCACCACTCCTATTCAACATAGTGTTGGAAGTTCTGGCCAGGGAAATCAGGCAGGAGAAAGAAATAAAGGGTATTCAATTAGGAAAAGAGGAAGTCAAATTGTCCCTGTTTGCAGATGACGTGATTGTATATCTAGAAAACCCCATCGTCTCAGCCCAAAATCTCCTTAAGCTGATAAGCAACTTCAGCAAAGTCTCAGGATACAAAATCAATGTGCAAAAATCACAAGCATTCTTATACACCAACAACAGACGAACAGAGAGCCAAATCATGAGTGAACTCCCATTCACAATTGCTTCAATGAGAATAAAATACCTAGGAATCCAACTTACAAGGGATATGAAGGGCCTCTTCAAGGAGAACTACAAACGACTGCTCAACGAAATAAAAGAGGATACAAACAAATGGAAGAACATTCCATGCTCATGGATAGGAAGAATCAATATTGTGAAAATGGCCATACTGCCCAAGGTAATTTATAGATTCAATGCCATTCCCATCAGGAATGACTTTCTTCACAGAAATGACTTTCTTCACAGAATTGGAAAAAACTACTTTAAAGTTCATAAGGAACCAAAAAAGAGCCCACATTGCCAAGTCAATCCTAAGCCAAGAGAACAAAGCTGGAGGCATCACGCTACCTGACTTCAAACTATACTACAAGGCTACAGTAACCAAAACAGCATGGTACTGGTACCAAAACAGAGATATAGACCAATGGAACAGAACAGAGCCCTCAGAAATAATTCCATCATTCCCTATCACATTATCCTGTTTTATTTCTTCAGAGAATTTATCACTATTTCTCACTATCCTACTTGTTTCATTTATCATCTGCCTCCCTCACTAAAATATATGCTCTTTGAGACCAGAAACCTCTCTCTTGTTGGCCACTATATTCGTACTTGCCAAGAGAGTCAATAAATATGTTAGAAAAATGAAGAAACACATAAAACTTTAGTTAGCACCATTACATTGTAGATAGCAGAATTTTCCTGTTATTTTAATATCAGTATCTGGCAAATATAAATTATCAGGAGTGATCTATTATTATATACATATAATTCTTTAACTATATTTAGAGTTAATACTGTTTTTTCCCCTTCAGGTATAATAAAGACTCTGAAAAAACTCTAGGACTTAAATCAAAGGTTTTTTTTTCTCCCAGGAAAATATAATTTCATAACCACCTAACAACTATAGAGACTATTAAAAAGCTTAGGAGTTCATTTTCAGTTGTAGAGACTTGAAAACATCACTATGAAATAAAAACGCTGAAACCAATCTTTGAGATTATAACAAAAATTACAAAATGAAATTAATAACTTTTCTAATGCTGAGATTCTCCATAAAGTTATACAAACTCTTGTCTTTCCAAAGAAAATCTGAATCCATTAGTGTTTTATTTCCTGAGCAGAATATACAAGATAGATTAACTGAAAGAAAGGCAACAATGGTTTAAAAAAAAAAGTACTTAAATGATAAATAAATGATAGGCTCAAGTTAAAATTACATCAGAGGGTTCATTTTCATTCTCTTGTAAGGATATGAACTTATGTTCTATGAAGGTGAAACCTTAGTGTGAAATGTACATTTTTTTCATTGTGCTTTACCATATATGAAGAAGTAAACATACCTGTTCTGATTTAAGTACATTGAGTTCTTTCTGAAGTTTATCATTTTCACTTGGTTGAGTTGCTCTAAGTGATGATTCCTTTGTTACAGATGGTAAGTGATCCAAAATCAACTGTTCTTGCTTACTTTCTTCTCCAACAGTCATATTTTCAAAAGAAACTTTATCTTCCACCATTATTTTTGATTCTTCACCAAAACTTTTATTTACTTTAGAAACTGATCCTTCAGCACCCCTGCTTGTCATGGTCACAACTCCATCTAATAAAGAGCTTACTTGAGTATCACATGACTGTACATTTTCTGCCCTGTTGTGGTTAATAATGATTTCTAGCTCTCTACATCTCAATGAAACTTGTTCTTTCTCTTGCTTTAAAGATTTAACTTCTTCATTTAGAAAACTAATCTCACCATGTTTCTGTTTCAATTGTTCAGAAAGATCAGACAGTCTCTGTGACAGCTCTAATTTCTCTCGCTTGGTTACCTCAAGTTTTTCCATGAGTTCTGTTGTATCCTTTTCAACAACCTCACCCATTTCCAATGTTTCTGCTACAAAAGTTTTGTCTTCATCAAAGACAGAACTTTTCATTTTCACTGTAGTTGGATTTATTCTTTGCAAATGAAGCTCTTCATTAAGTGCTTTAAGTTTACTTTTATACTCTAATTCCTGTTTATTTTTACTGTCTTCTAAATCATCTTTTACTTTGAGAAGGCAAGCATACTCCTCTTGTAACTCTTGATAGTTAACTTCAAAGTTTTTTTCAGCAAATGAAAAAGTGTTCCTTTGCTTTTCAATCTCTTCATTTAGCTGAATACATTGTTGTTTGAGGTCCTCATTTTCCTCTATAAGTATTTCTATTTCTTTTTCCCACACAGAGTCTTTGGATTTGGACTTAATGGAGTCTAAGAAAATCAATCTTTCTTCTTGGCTAACAGGAGTATGTATTTTCAACATGTCTTCAAGGGTTTTCTTTTCATCTTTAAGAATGCTATTCTCTGCTTCAAGTTGTGCAAATTTTTCTTGAAGATCATTCTCTTTTTCCTTCATCTGTTTTTCTAACAATTCTGTTTTAAGTTGTAATTCTTGAACTTCTTGTTCAAGTGTACCCTTTTCTTTTTCTTCTTGTCTGAGTATTTCAATTTCTTTTTGAAGTTCATTGATTTGAAGAGTCATTTCTTCTGACTTTGAATTTACAAGAGACTGCTGTAAATCTTTTAGCTTTGAAATTTCCAAAATTAATTGATTCTGCTTAGTTATCAAATTGTCCTTTTCAAACTGCATGGTTTCTATCTTTTGACTCATTTCATTCTGTAAACCATCTATCTGCTGTTTATAGTGAATGCCTAAATTATCTTTAAGTTTTTCAATATTTATTCGATGTTCAATTTCTAAATCTTCCTTCAGTTTGGAAAGCTCTTCTTCGTGACTAAATAGAAGCTGTGTTCTCAGCCTCTCTAATTCAGCTTCTTGTGATTCAGCCATTCTGTCTAACACAGCATTCTTTTCTTTTTCTAACATTTCAAGTTTTATCTTGTAATTTGTAACTTCTGCTTCATGTTTTAATTCTAGTTCCTTTCTGGATTCAGATGCAGAAACAATCTCAGCTTTCAAATCTTCCACTGTACTAAGGGACTTATGTGCTTCATTAAGTTTACTTTCTTGTTCAGCTATTGTCTGTCTAGCTCTCTGAATCTGTTCCCTTGAAAAGCTCAATTCTTCAACAAGGTCTTCAAGCTGTCTCTGTAGAGCACACTTTTCTTCTAAAATTAGTCCTAGTTCTTCCTTGAGTTTTTCCTTTTGAGAGTTAGTATCTTGCAATTTTATATTCAGTTCATTTATTGCCACATTCATTAACTTTATCTGATCTTCATTAACTGTAATATTTGAATATGACCTTAAAGCATTCTCCATTTCTCCCTTATGCCGTGTTTTCATTTCCTCCATCTGTGCCATGTGTTGTCTTATTAATTCTTGTTTCATTTGCACTATCTGCTGCCCATACATCTCATCCAGCTCTGCCCGGAGTTGTTCTAACTTTCTTTGTGTTTCTTGTTCCATTCGTTGTACTATATCAGTTTCGAACTGGCTGTCTTTATGATTTCTCTTCTGAAGTTCTTCGACTGTCCCCATTAACTGTTTTATTTCTTCAGAAGACTGTCTTTCTTTTTGCTTAGAATTAGTCAGCTCTAATTTCATGTTTTTTATTTCTTGGTTCTTTTGCACAATCTGTTCTTGTAATTCTCCTAGTAATTTATCAGCAGTTGTTAATTTATCCTTTAGCTCAAGAGTTTTCTTTTCTTCTTCTATTATTTTTGTGTTTAATTCTTCAATGATTGTCTCCTTTTCCTGTATTTCTTCTTTATTTGAGTTTTCTACTTTTTTATCTTGTTCCTTTAGGAAAAAAAATGAAAATGTAAGAATGGCATTTTTAGCTTCTGGCAAATTATACTGCTTCATCTCATTACCAAAAGACTGACAGAAGTTTCTCTTTTAAAAAATTCTACAAAAAGTAAATGTTGGTCCTGCCCCTCAATTTTTTCCACAATAATGACACTTAGAACTCGTGTAACCAACACTACTTGTGAGCAAACACTACAGTAGTTTTGGCCTTCTTAGAAGAAATTTCTCTTAACATTTCTGTGATTAAAATTTTTAGTTTAAAAACCCAGTCTGATTTTAGATGTCTCCAAACTGTTACATTTTCATTTTTCTTATTAACTGATCAACATTCTAAATATTTAGTATTCTCTATAGCTAAAGTACTGCATATACTCTAGACACATTCAGAAAGATAAAAATAAATAAAAGTTCCTCACATGTATTCTGGTGACTTCAATGTGTGTCATGGGCAAGGGCTATGGAAAAAGAAAAACAACAAAAACAGACTCCTAACGGTCTGTCTTAACTTCAGTCCTGGGCTCTTAAGTCAGTCAGAAATTTAGAGATATGCAATGCTTAAAAGGCTGAACCTCAAGTGACATCTAAGACAACTATACCATTTATGGCATAACAACTTGGTCCTAGGACTTTTGGTTTAAACAGAATTTTCAAAGCAAAGCAGATACTCTCCCCCAGTTCTTATTTGGGATTCTATTTTGGAATGGAGATAGGGCTACGCCCAGACACAGGCCAAGGCATATCTGTTATGGTGATTACTTCAGCATGACAAAGTCAAGCAGAGGCCCTAGGTCAAAGTTTTGCTTCAGTAACTTACTTGCCTCTGTAAGTAATAGAGGGCTATAGTCTCAAAAACAAATAAATACATGAAATCTACAGAATGGATCAGGACATAAGTAGGTAAGTAAAATCATTTTAAAGAGACAGGAGTCCCAGGCAAACAGGACTTAAAGGTGCCTTGAATGAATGAATGAATGAATGAATGAACATAACTAAAGAAGAAATGTCAAGGCTGAGAAAAAGAAAAGCCTCAGAGGGAAATGTTGGCAGTGCCCATTCAAGTACAGCCTTTGAGAATTTTGGTTGCTCTAGAAAAAACATTACCAAATGTAGAAAGAAATGTCAGGGGTTGCAGCAAACAGCATTTAAGAATTCCCATCTATAGGCATGACCATTCCTACTGTGAGATAGATAGATCAGGTTATCTCAGCCTAATGCCCCTGAACATCTGATTCCTCTAAAACCTTTTAATCTCATGGTCACTAAATAACTTTCTAATTATTATGTGGCTTTTAAAATTCATTTGCCCATGGAAATAATATAAAATCCAATGAACTTGAAATATTTAGGTCTCTGTGATAATGATTTCTCATTGTAAATTAATAATCTTATTCAAGCTTTAAACATTAGCCTCATGGTGAAACCCTGTCTCTACTAAAAATAAAAAAACTAGCTGGGCGTGGGGCTGGGCGCCCGTGATCCCAGCTACTCAGGAGGCTGAGGCAGGAGAATCACATGAACCCAGAGGGCAGAGGTTGCAGTGAGCTGAGATCTCACCATTGCACTCCAGCCTGGGAGACAGAGCGAGACTCTGTCTCAAAACAAACAAAAAAAATTAGCCTCGTTAACTTTGAAAAATCTGAGTTCACTTCTGAGGTAGCTCGTCTCAGTTGACAGGGGAAAAAAAAATCAGACTTCTGAACCTACAAGTCGAAGGCCAGATTCTGTACTATATAAATTAACCAAGGCAATGAATGTTATCCTATGCAGCCTCTTGGGCAAAATTCTATCAGCTTGTGCCTTGGTATCACATATCCCACCCAATATTACCATGTTATTACCAAGTCCTGAGCCTTCTTACTTCAAACTCTGCACTACAATAGGATATTAATAAATCAGTTTAATCTCCTTTAATCCCAGTGTTTTCATCCATACAATATAAATATTATTATTTCCTCTATCTCACAGAATATGCTAAAATAAAACATCACCTATTAAAGCATTTTATTCTTACTGTACTATTAATATATACGAGTGTAATATATTTACATACTAGAAAGAAATCTGTAACACATTTGGAATCTATGAGAAAGTAAAATCAGTTCATGGTGGTCAATTCCAGTTAAACTGTTAAATAAGTAACTAAGTTTGAAAAATGTTAATGTTACAAAATTTAACTTTTCTGTTTCCTGATTTATATAGGGGAGTGGGGCCTTCATAAAACAGTATCATTTAATCATTTAATTCAAAATTGTCCAACACCTGATATAATAACAACCAACAATAATTCTTCTTTCAACCGTTAAACAACACAAATTTATGGTTTATTTTTCTTAGTATCACTTATTTCAAAGTACATGGTTTTAAACCACTTACTCTGAATTCTAAAAAAAAAAAAAAAAAAAAAAAAAAAAAAAAAAAAAGAGCCCTGTGGTTGAATACACTATCTTTTGGAAATACACCTGAGATGGGGGGAAATACTATGCTACGGCACCAATGGGAAGTTTGGAGGATTAGGACAATGAGAATGAGCTTTTGATCATCAACACAGTTGTGTAGGGAAGGGGTCCCCAACCTCCAGGTTGCAGACCCGGTACCGGTTGGGGCCTGTTAGAGATGGGGCCACACAGCAGGAGGTAAGCAAGCATTACCAGCGAGATCTCTGTGAGATCTGCTGCGGCACTAGATTCTTCTAGGAGCTCGAACCTTATTGTGAACTGTGCATGTGAAGGATCTAGGCTGCAAGCTCCTTATGTGAATCTAACTAATGCCTGATGTCATCCCAAAACCATTCCTCCCTCATGTCTGTGGAAAAAGTGTCTTCCACGAAACTGGCCCTGGTGCCAAAAAGGTTGGGGACCACTGGTCTAGGGAACCAAGACCATTTCATTTGTGACCCCAATGCCTTAGCTGACCCTAATATCTCAGCTGCCGATAGAATTATTACTTGGGGGGATTCATTTTCTTAAGAATAAAAATTTAAAAAAATGTATATAGTGAAAAACAGATTGATAAAAGTATTCTTGTTATATTCAAATAACAAAGGTTATTCCCCCTACAAAATGAATTACTTGAATTTTAAATAATCTCAATTTACACTGCCCACAGAGTAAATATAATACAATCCAATCTCCAGGCTCTTCTCACCTAGTCCTAGATTATCCTCCCACTCTTACCTCCTGGAAAGATTAACTTTCAAAGATTACTGTTTCTAGACAAGTTACACCATTTTTTGCTCCTTACTGATTTTTAACATGTTTCATCCTGAGTCTTTATGCCTACTCCACACTCTATCTAAAAAGTCCTCCCCATTTCTATCAGTTGAGATCCTTAATTTACCCACTTGTTTACAAAGTGAGTATTGAGTAGCTACTATGTTCCAGGCATTAGGCCAATTGTTGGGGAAACAAAATACAATTAAAAAGTTGTCCCAATTTATAAACTTACCTCAAATGGAAACTCTTCCACTAAAGCTTACCCTGAATCTCTTCTCTTATGAAGCCAGACCTATTCAGAACTTTCAAAGCACTTTTTGCCCACACTTATCCCTGTTTTGTGGTGTCCTTTGTACATGCCACAGCTCTCCTACTCATCTGAGTTCCAGTGAAGAAAAGGGCACATTTTAAGCCTCACTGTATTTCTTGCAAGGGCCTGCTACAAAAATAGGTGTTCTGTAAATATTTACCTAATAATTTTTAAATTACCTTAGTGGTAAAGCATGTATTTTTCATAATTTCATTGTCTTCAATTTGTACATTCCCTATTATTTAAAAGCAGTCTCTGGAGTCAGACAACTTAGATTTGAAATCTGGCTCTATCAACTTACTACCTGTGTATACCTGAGCAATTTACCTCATCTTGCTTTGTGTTGGTGTCCTCACTTAGAAAATAGGAGTGATAATTGTACTTCTATTGCACAGGCCTATGGTGATGATTCAATGAGTTAATATAAGATGCTTTGAATACTGCCTGTTACACAGTAAGCACTTAATAAATGCTAATTACTACTACTATTATTATTATCATCCAAGCAATATTCTTGTCTTGGTAATTTCTCAACCTCTTGCAGAAGAACCTCCTAAGTTTATAAAAAGTATTATATTGCATGTACAATCCATCCTCATTCTTTGTAGATTCCATATTTGTGAGTTCTTGCTAAAATTTATTTGTAACCCCCAAATCAATGCTCATGGTGCTTTTAGTCATTTGTAGGTGTGCACAGAGCGACAAAAAATTTGAGTTGCTGGACATACACTTCTAGCTGAGGTCAAACAAGGTGACCACACTGCCTTGTTCATCCCTTATAGAGAGGACCAGAGGGATGGAGAGGACCCGAGGTAGTGCAGTGTAGTACAGGAAGCTCCAGCTCTGGGGCAACTGACAGGATCTGAATCCCAGTCTGACACCTGTTAGTGGGGTGGCCTCAGGCAAGTCACTTCTGAACCTTGATTTCCCTTTTAAAAAATAAAGAAAAAGAATCTTCCAGGATGAGTAGTTTTATGATTTAAGATTATAATCAATGTGATACACATATATGTAAAATATACGCACCCATACACGGACACATATTCCTCCCAACAATCCCCCACCAGAGAACTTATTTGCTAAATAAGTGTTCCCAGAAACACTTAAGTTTATGGAACATAACTTATGTAAATAAAGATAACTGACTACATTCAATTTTTTTCTCATTAAAATCCATAAAATTTCTCTCTGTTGTGAAAATATTTTCTGAATTTCACAACCATGGCTAAAATAAGTGGAAATAATTATAAATGACAAAAAAAACTATAGCTATAAATTTGTATTTTCCTGCTAATTCAGTTTAACATAGGCTGATCACTTTTAGGGAACTCAGTAATGACTATTATCTTAAAAACTACATTACTGAGATTCCCATTTGCTTTTGAAATAAATTACACAAAGAGCTTAATTATGAAATTTTGTGATTCATGTGCCTAACAAAAAAAAACCACTTGCATAAAAAACTTGAAACTCTAAAGCTTCTACAAGTTAGCTGACTTCCTTAAAATAAACATACCATTTCATATACTTTAATTTTCTCTTGCAAGAAACTAATTTGCATTGTGAAGTCTTCTTTCTTTTTCTGATAATCTTCTAATAAGTGGTCTTGTTCTTCAAGCTGCTGTTGATGAGTGAGGATCTGTTGTTTGGCTTGTAGTAAGTCTGCAGCTGTGCTACTATGAGTGCTGTTTCTCAGAGTTTCACTAGCCTGTAACTGAAAATAGAAAGAAACCTCAAAACGTTAAATTCTGAAGTGACTGTATTAGGGAACAGACACCTTTGGGGTGTCCCTGCAATAGCTCTCTGGGAACTCTGCAGGCTTGAGACCCTAGCAAACATGCTACCTTGGCTGACTAGATAGGTATACCCAAGCCGAGCCAATAAACTTATCTTTTCCATGATACAGCAGAGAACCTAGGTCTCCTGAGACTGAGGCAGATATACGAAGAAAAGTGGGGCATCAAAGACAGTACTTCCCGAATTCCCTATGGCTTTCCAGTTTGTAGTTCCAATCCCTTTCAGAGGCCTGGTTGTATTTCTGCCCTTGGGTTCTGGAAACAGCCTGAATCCTTACACTAAGTACCTCCCTTTTGCTTAAACTATTTCAAATTGTTTTGCTACTTGCCATCAGAAATTCTGATTAATGCAGTTAGATTCCTGTGGCTCTAATTAAAGGAAAATGGAATATATTTAGTTTTGTTATCATTTAGAACCTAACTAAAATAAACCATACCAGAATTGGCAAAGGTAGGATGTGACTACAGGTTAATTTCTGCAGAAATACCCTCAATCAACCTTACACAATTTGTAAGATTTCAAAATAGAGACAGGGAGGAAATGAAAAGAAAATATTAGTAGAGAACCATTTAAGAAGTATGAATTAAATTCCTGGTTAATATAGCAACACATATTCACTAATTTTTCATACATGATATAATACGAAATGGCTTTTTTAACAAATTTAGATTTGTTCTTGAAAGTGAATTTTTAAAATTCATTACTAAAAAAATAATGAATTTTGTTGCATTAGTAATACTTACTTGCTGAAATTGAATCTGTAATTTTTGACTCTGTTCTGTCAACTCTAAAAATTCTCTCATTGTCTCATCCTTTTCTCTTCTTGCTTGTTGTAAATTAGCAGTGAGCTGGGTTATAATGCCATCTCTTTGTTTAATGGCAGCTTCAAATTCTTGTAACTGAAAGAAAATAGTAAGTGCTAGATTTATTTTTTTTAATTGACTATTATTACAGGTAACTTTTTCAAAATAAGAATTCAAAACACATTGGCATAATTCTTACACTTTGTAATCAGTATTTTCCACATTTGAAAACTATTAACTTACAGAAATTGGTGCTTCCAAATCAACTTCAAAAAATTTATCTGAACTAAGGAAAAAATTGATCTGGCTTATCCATATATTTACTTATAGAAGGACAAGTGCCTTTATATTTAGGGGTGCCCCTAATCTGTTCCCAGGCAACACCACCCTAGACATGTTTAATTCCAACTTGTTTCTGAAGAGGATGAAACTGATATGTATTTTTGTCATCCTCATCAATGTCCTACTTCATCTTGTTTTCATAACTGACTGCCATAGACAGTTATGGCAGTCTAACCACAGATGTTAGTCTAACCACAAGAGGTTACTTACAAGGACCCACTGACATCGTTTTTCTGTTCTTTTTTTGAGACAGGGTCTCGCTCTGTTGTACAGGCTAGAGTGCAGCGGTGTGATTTTGGCTCACTACAGCCTCAATCTCCTGGGCTGCAGTGATCTTCCTGTCTCAGCCTCCCAAGTAACTAGGACTACAGGCACACACCACTATGCCTGGCTAATTTTTAAATGTTTTGTAGAAGCGGGGTCTTGCTATTTTCACCCTGCCAGTCTCAAACTACCAGACTCAAGCTATCCTCTTGCCTCAGCCTCTTGAAGTGCTGGGATTACAGGCATAAGCCACCATGCCCAACTTGCTGACATTCTTAATGGACTTAAGTTATAATATTTTGATGTGGTTTGCACCATAATTTTCTCTCAGGCTGATTACAAAAACATCTGTCTTATTAAAGTGATTTCAGGCTAGCTATCATAAAGTTAAAAAAGAGTCTGTGTTATATTAACCCTGTTAATGAAATCCTACTTTTAAACAGGGTTGTTTATGCAATGTATAAAGACAAAAATTATGAGTGATATTATCATTTACTTTTCTGTTTGATTTTTTAAGAGACAGGGACTCCCAATGTTGCCCAGGCTGGACTTGAACTCGTGGGCTCAAGTGATCCTCCCACCTCAGCCTCCTGAATAACTAGAACTACAGGTGCATGCCACTGTGTCCCACTAAGTTACCATTTTAAAACCCCCTTCTTTAGGCCAGGCACAGTAGCTCACGCCTGTAATCCTAGCACTTTGGGAGGCCAAGGAGAGTCCAGGAATCTGAGGTGACACCCTGTCTCTACAAAAAATTAGCTGGGTGTGGTAGTGCATGCCTGTAGTCCCAGTTACTCACAAGGCTGAGGTGGGAGGATCGCTTGAGCCCAGGAAGCAGAGGATGCAGTGGGCCGAGATTGCACCACTACACTCCAGCCTGGGCAACAGAGCAAGACCCTGTATGGAAAAAAAAAAAGAAGAAGAAGAAGAAGAAAAGAAAAGAAAAAAGTTAAAAAAAAATTTTAAAAACCCCATCTTTAAAGACTACTATTATTCACATTTCCTGTTTTTGTTTTTGTGAGTAGCAAATCAAAAGCCACAGAAAATAAACATACCTGCTGCAGTCCTTCAGTCCCATAGGTAACCCTCATTTCTTCCAGCTCTCTGTTTAGCTCTTCAATCTCATGCTGCTTCCCAGCCAACTCACTTTCCATCATCTCTAGATGAGTCGGACTGTCTTGTGCTCCTTGTTCAGAATAAGAATCATCAACACCAAATTCTTCTTCCTAAATCAATCCAAGATTTTAAAGAATTCAGTATTAGCAATATTCCTTAGGGAGAGAGATTCAAATACTGAAATCCATAGCAAGGTCCACTTTAAAACATCACTCACCACCTGGAAGATTATGGTATGGCAACCTACTTCGTTAACATATTTACCTCAAGAACATAAACAGGTTATCCGCAAATTCTGTTACAATTGAGTTTTTTTTTTTTTTTTTTTTTTTTGACAGAGTCTTGCTCTGTCACCCAGGTTGGAGTGCAGTGGCGCAATCTCAGCTCACTGCAACCTCCGCCTCCCGGGTTCAAGCAATTCTCTTGTCTCAGCCTCCCAAGTAGCTGGGACTACAGGCGGCTGCCACCATGCCCGGCTAATTTTTGTACTTATAGTAGAGATGCGGTTTCACCTTGTTGGTCAGGCTGGTCTCGAACTCCTTATCTCAGGTGATCCACCTGCCTCGGCCTCCCAAAGTGCTGGGATTACAGACGTAAGCCACCACGCCTGGCCTACAATTGAGTTTTATAATAAATGGTAGATAACTTTGTTTTAGTAAACATTAAAATTAATTTGAAATCACACACAGAAAGAAGTACATGCAGGAAAAAGTTTTGTTAGTAAGCCAGATGATTTTAAATAGTATCCAACATTAGTATCACAAGTAGTTTTAAATACTGTACCCTTAATAAATTTGTAGGCTTTCCTGTTCTCATCACAAAACTGCAACCATTTACCTGTATAAAAACAATTTCCTGATATATTATGATCTTAGACATAATTTTATTTAGCTAACAATATTTCTGTTAACTGTATTCACGTGTATGTCTTTTATTCCTAGGGAAAATGCATCATTGGCGAAAACAGATACAGAGATTAATTTAAAATATCTAAGAGACATAATGACCATTTCAAATGCCAATCATTCCTCACAAATCTGAGTGCTTACAATGCAAAAGACACATATATACATTTTCACTTAAGTGAATTAAAGTTCTAAGTGCAGTTTCTGTTTGCTCTTCAGAAGTATAAACCTCAATAAAATCTCTTCTATGAAAGGCTTCCTTAAAATGGTTCAAATAATTATTTATTAAGCCCTATTCATTTTCAAGTAAAACAATTTAGGTCGGGTGTGGTGGCTCACGCCTGTAATCCCAGCACTTTGGGAGGCTGAGGCGGGCAGATCATGAGCTCAGGAGATCGAGACCATCCTGGCTAACACGGTGAAACCCCGTCTCTACTAAAAATACAAAAAATTAGCCGGGTGTGGTGGCGGGTGCCTGTAGTCCCAGCTACTTGGGAGGCTGAGGCAGGAGAATGGCGTGAACCCAGGAGGCGGAACTTGCAGTGAGCTGAGATCGAGCCACTGCACTACAGCCTGGGCGACAGAGCAAGACTCTGTCTCAAAAAAAAAAAAAAAAAGAGTTCTTCCCATTTGGCTGGTTTCCAGCTACAAGGGAGGCTGAGGCAGGAGGACTGCTTGAGCCCAGGAGTTTGAGGATATAGTGCACAACTGGCACACCTATTAATTGCCACCACACTCCACTGTGGGCAACATACTGAGAACCATGTCTCTAAAAAATTTTTTTAATTAAAAGATTAATATCAAGACATTTGCAATAACTTTCAAATTAAATACTTCTAAATTGCAATTAGCTTTTCTTGATCCTGAAATGAAGCATTCTGATGTGTCCTCTAAAATATTTTACTGTAGCCTATCAGTGTAACGAAATGGATGTTTATGAATACAGTAGTCTTCCTTAATCCACAGGGGATATGTTCCAAGACTCCCAGTAGATGCCTGAAATCATAAATAGTATTGAACCCTATATACACTATGGTTTTTTGATCTGATAAGGTAGACAGCTACTAAATGAACATGAGATGGACAGAGTATATGGTGTAGATCCACTGTATGTTCAAAGGGATGATCCACATCTTGGGTGGGATGAATGGGATGGAGCAAGATTTCACCATGCTACCAGAACAAGGCACAATTTAAAACTTATGAATTGTTTATTTCTGGAATTTTCCATTTAATATTTTCAGATAATGGTTGACTACAGAAAGTAAAAACAGGGATGGGGGACTACTGCTTCTTCAAATATGATACAAAGCAATGAATATTCCTTTAAGGAGTGATTATGTCAGTATTACATGAATCAGTTATCAGTTATCAGTTTGTAATAACTGTCAGTATTACATGAATCAGTTATCAGTTACCATTTTATAATAATTATGTTTATAGTTTCATCTAGTACTTTATTTAGCCACTGCTGTTTAATTTTTCTCTAATTCAGATAAGCAAATGTTATACTTGAACTCATATGTATTGAATTCTTAAAATACCATTAATACATGACTGTTTCAAAACATATTTATGTTATAATAAATGTAAAACTTATCAATATTAATAAATCTGAAAAGTTTAACATCATACAAATTGGCTATAAAAGATTATTCACCAGAACTAAACTAAAACACACTATATTCCAAAGTTAGAACAGGAACACTTAACAGAATATCAGGATCATTAATAGTTAACAATAAATTATTCTGTTTTTAAATTTAGATAATTATTTTATTGATAACTAAAGGGTAGAGTATTTATCTCCTCTTCTAACATTAGTCTTCTAACACTAAGTAAACCTTCATATGAAAGTAAATAAATGACTTGAAACATGAAGATTAGATTAACAGACTCCTTCAACTGAAAAAAGCTCAACTTCTCTCAATGTCCTTTTTTATTGTGGCATTTGTTGAAGTTATTTAACCTACAGACTATGTTAATGTATTCTTTCTGCATTCACAGAAAAATTTACTCTATCTGTACAGATAACTTAAAGATCTGGGAAAGTACAAGTGAGGTACATTTTAAATTTTAAAATGTTTTATAGAGGTATCACATCATAACAACATTGCTATTCAGAAAGAATCAGAGGAAAGGTAACTTTCACTATGTGACTATAAAATGGCCTTCACATAAAAACTCATCCTTGTGGTGAACATTAGGTTGATGAAATATAAAAGAACAACTCATCCTTATTTATGATTAATACCTTATTCTTGTACTTAATTTGGAAATATATAAATTAAAAACATTAATATTGAATATTTTCATAAAAAATAAAAATCTGATGGCTCATAAAAGTTCATGAAAATTATAAGAGTTCAATGTGCCTAAATGACTTATGGAGTTGCAGTCAAGTAATTAACGAGGTTAAAATAAATGTCATAAACCATATAAGCACTTGGTTAAAAAGTATTCAATAATCAGATGAAATCTATAATAAGAGTGAATACCCTATTACTATCATTTCATCTTTCTATACATGGCAAAGTATATTTATCTACTTGTCTTGACTCTATATTGCCTGTATTCCCAACTTCCTCCAAATAACCCTGCTCAAAGGGTATCAAAAACAATTCATGTAAATATGGTATTCTGGACATGAAACGTCCCTTCATTAATGATTGAAGATGACTGCATATAATTTAATTTGTAAGAAGAGTATTTTTCATTTAGTCCGATTTCTCTAGTGTACATAATAGGATACATATTTCTACAAAAGAGATCTTGGAATAATATTATTTGACTAATTCTAAGATGGAACCAATTTTCCAACCCAATGAGTGTACTAGTCACAGAAGTCAAGAACATTAAACCCACAATATACCTAAATAAATACAATTTACAAATTAAGTTCTAATCAAATATTATCAGAACCTGAAATCCTTCTGAGAACAATTTATTAAGGGAATCATCATCACTCATTTCATATAAATGTAGTGTAAAGAAAAGTGTATTTCTAGTGATGAGCAATTTAAAAAACCACACTTTGCTGAACGTCTAATGTATGCCAAACACATATTAAACATTCTCAAGCTTATTTTGTGAACTACTTTGTGAGGTATGCAAATATATCAGGTAGATATCATCGTCCCCCATTTTATAGTTTAAATAACTGTATTTCACCTAATGTAAATGACTAGTTGATGGATGCAACAAACCAACATGGCACATGTGTACCTATGTAACAAACCTGAATGTTGTGCACATGTACCCTAGAACTTAAAGTATAATAATAATAAAAAAACAAACTGTATTTCAGAGTTTAAGTGATGTGCCCAGGTTCATACAGTTCAAAGGTGATGAAGTATGTAAACAGGACTTTCTGGCTCCAAAGTCCCCCTGCTCTTTTCTTACATCTTATTGCCCTATTTACCAGAAAAATGATAGTCATATTTAGGTAAAATACAAGATAATTATGTGATCTATGATTAAAACTACTTGATTTCAAAATTTTAGAATACTCAAATACAATCTAGATCTGCCAAGATTATTAAACTTTGCAAATATGGCATTGCAGTGAAGTTATAATGTTACATACTGCCCAGAAATCTCTCTCTCTCTTTCTCTTTTTGAGACAAGGTCTCACTCTGTCACACAGGCTGGAGTGCAGTGGTGTGATCATTAGGTCATTGCAAACTCAAACTCCTGGGTGCATGGGATCCTCCTACTTCAGCCTCTTGAGCAGCTGGAAGTACAGGCACACACTATCACCTAGCTTTTTTTTTTTTTTTTTTTTTTTTTTTTGAGAGGGGGTCTTGCTCTGTCACCAAGGCTGGAGTGCCAGTGGTGTGATCATACTCCTGGGCTCAAGTTTTTGGAAAGATACTTATTCTTACAGTATGACATATCTTGTGATGATACTGTTTCTTGTTAATGTTGGTCAAAAAAACTAAATTGATGAGCTATCTTACCGTGTGGAATAAACAGTGACTTAGAAGATTACATTGAAAAATGTAACCTCAGCCTCCCAAGTAGCTGGGACTACATGTGCCCGCCACTATGCCTTGCTAATTTTATTTTATTATTTTAATTTGTAGAGATGATGTCTCCCTATGTAGCCAAGGCTGGTCTCGAACTCCTGAGCTCCAGTGATCTTCCCACCTTGGCCTCCCAAAGTGCAGAGATTACAGGTGTGAGCTACTATGCCCGGCCAATAAATCTCATTTTTTAGGTGTGTTATTGAGAGATAATTCCATAAAAGTTCCAATATAAAAACTATTACAGTATGAGTTTATTTCTCGGGTTATAAATTTGGTCCACTGATGATTTTTCTGCCTCCTGAATAGGTGGATATGGCTTAGAAGTCTCCTGTAATTCTAGTTGAGTCAAGCCAGTCTAATATCATTAAATGGAGGAATTCAAGCCTCAAAACTAGCCTAGAGCATCACAGATCCAACTAGTATCCATCTTAGCAATTTTGATGACACATATCAAACATTTCACCAAATATCAACTTTACTTCTACGTTTTCTCTAGACATAGTGAATCTATAAATTTCTCAAAGTATAATCCGTTGTGAATCCATACATAACACACAAAATATTACTAGGGTTATAATTCAAACCAGGTCAAATCTGTCAAAAATTATTTCATAATTATCTTTTTTCTTCTTTTTTTTTTTCGAGATAGAATTTCACCCTTGTTGCCCAGGCTGGAGTGCAATGGCACTATCTCGGCTCACTGTAACCTCCACCTCCCAGATTCAAACAATTTTCCTGCCTCAGCCTCCCAAGTAGCTGGGATTACAGGCATACGCCACCATGTTCAGGTAATTTTTGTTATTTTTAGTAGACATGGGGTTTCAGCATGTTGGTCAAACTGGTCTCCAACTCCTAACCTCAGGTGATCCGCCCACTTTGGCCTCCCAAAGTGTGGGATTACAGGCATGAATGAGCCACCGTGCCTGGCTCATAATTATCTTTTTTCAATGTAATCTTCTAAATCACTGTTTATTCCACACGGTAAGATAGCTCATCAATTTAGTTTTTTTGACCAACATTAACAAGAAACTGTATCATCACAAGATATGTCATACTGTAAGAATAAGTATCTTTCCAAAAACTTGTTTGGAAAAAAGTATGCATATGTATATATTTATTCATATATAATTATTCATGTATATAACTATAAATATATGTAACTATATATGTATATATATGAAATTACAAACGTATGTAAAATATATTTCTCACCATGAGCTATGGTCAACAAGTATGATAAATACTGTTCTAAGTTTTATCGGTAGTACTTACACTTAAATACTATTTGTACCTTACCTTAAAACATATATTTACTAGGCATCTCAGATAAATAGGTTCAATACATTTTTTGGAACCTGATAATCTCCACCAGTTTTTTAATTTAAAAAATTTAGCTGAAGACTGTCTTATTATAACAAGAATTTCCCATACTATTAATTAACATTTTCCTACAGAAAACCTGAAAATCACCATCTTTTGACCTCTTTAGCTTTTCAAATCAATATTTAAAATTAAAATTTGTGAGGATCCGTTCCAAGAAGGCCAAATAGGAACAGCTCCGGTCTGCAGCTCCCAGCGTGAGCGACACAGAAGACGGGTGATTTCTGCATTTCCAACTGAGGTACCTGGTTCATCTCACTGGGACTGGTCGGACAGTGGGTGCAGCCCATGGAGGGTGAGCCGAAGCAGGGCAGGGCATCGCCTCACCCAGGAAGAGTAAGGGGTTGGAGGATTTCCCTTTCCTAGCCAAGAGAAGCTGTGACAGACTGTACCTGGAAAAACGGGACACTCCCGCCCAATACTGCGCTTTTCCAATGGTCTCAGAAACTGGCAGACCAGGAGATTCTCTCCCGTGCCTGGCTCAGCAGGTCCCATTTCTTTCATCTAGAGGAAATGGATGAATTCCTGGACACATACACCCTCCCAAGACTAAACCAGGTAGAATCTCGGAATAGACCAATAACAGGCTCTGAAATTGAGGCAATAATTAATAGACCACCAACCAAAAAAAGTCCAGGACCAGACAGATTCAAAGCCAAATTCTACCAGAGGTACAAAGAGGAGCTGGTATCATTCCTCCTGAAACTATTCCAATAAATAGAAAAAGGGGGAATTGGCTGGGCGAGGTGGCTCATGCCTGTAATCCCAGTACTTTAGGAGGCCGAGGTGGGGAGATCAAGAGGTCAGGAGTTCGAGACCAGCTTGAACAGTATGGTGAAACCCCATCTCTAATAAAAATACGAAAAATTAGCCAGATATGGTGGCACGCGCCTGTAGTCCCAGGTACTCAGCAGGCTGAGGTAGGAGAATTGTGTGAACCCGGCAGGCGAGGGTTGCAGTGAGCTGAGATCATGCCACTGCACTCCAGCCTGGGCGAAAGAGTGAGACTCCGCCACAGAAAAAAGAAAGGGGGTGGGGGAATCCTCCCTAACTTAAATGAGGCCAGCATCATCCTGATACCAAAGCCTGGCAGAGACACAACAAAAAAGAATTTTAGACCAATATCCCTGATTAACATGAATGCAAAAATCCTCAATAAAATACTGGCAAACCAAATACAGCAGCACATCAAAAAGCTTATCCACCGTGATCAAGTCAGCTTCATCACTAGGCTGCAAGGCTGGTTCAAAACACACAAATCAATAAACATAATCCATCACATAAACAGAACCAAAGACAAAAACCACATGATTATCTCAATAGATGCAGAAAAGGCCTTTAACAAAATTCCACAGCCTTTCATGCTAAAAACTCTCAATAAACTAGGTATTGATGGGAGGTATCTCAAAATAATAAGAGCTATTTATGACAAACCCACAGCCAATATCATACTGAATGGGCAAAAACTGGAAGCATTCCCTTTGAAAACTGACACAAGACAAGGATGCCCTCTGTCACCACTCCTATTCAACATAGTCTTGGAAGTTCTGGCCAGGGCAATCAGACAAGAGAAAGAAATAAAGGGTATTCAATTAGGAAAAGAGGAAGTCAAATCGTCCCTGTTTGCAGATGACATGATTGTATATTTAGAAAACCCATTGTCTCAGCCCAAAATCTCCTTAAGCAAAGTCTCAGGATACAAAATCAATGTGCAAAAATCACAAGCATTCCTATACACCATTAACAGACAAACAGAGAGCCAAATTATGAGTGAATTCCCATTCACAATTCCTACAAAGAGAATAAAATACCTAGGAATCCAACTTACAAGGGATGTGAAGGACCTCTTCAAGGAGAACTACAAACCACTGCTCAACGAAATAAAAAAGGACACAAACAAATGGAAAAGCATTCCATGCTCATGGATAGGAATAATCAATATTGTGAAAATGGCCACACTGCCCAAGGTAATTTATAGATCGAATGCCATCCCCATCAAGCTATCAATGACTTTCTTCACAGAACTGGAAAAAAACGACTTTAAAGTTCATATGGAACCAAAAAAGAGCCCACATTGCCAAGACAATCCTAAGCAAAAGGAACAAAGCTGGGGGCATCACACTACCTGACTTCAAACTATACAACAAGGCTACAGTAACCAAAACAGCATGATACTGGTACCAAAACAGAGATATAGACCAATGGAACAGAACACAGGCCTCAGAAATAACACTACACATCTCCAACCATTTGATCTTTGACAAACCTGACAAAAACAAGAAATGGCGAAAGGATTCCCTATTTAATACATGGCGCTGGGAAAACTGGCTAGCCATATGCAGAAAACTGAAACTGGACTCCTTCCTTACACCTTATACAAAAATTAATTCAAGATGGATTGAAGACTTAAATGTTAGACATAAAACCATAAAAACCCTAGAAGAAAACCTAGGCAATAACCTTTAGGTCAGGCATGGGCAAGGACTTCATGACTAAAACACCAAAAGCAATAGCAACAAAAGCCAAAATAGACAAATGGGATGTAATTAAACTAAAGAGCTTCTGCACAGCAAAAGAAACTACCATCAGAGTGAAAAGGCAACCTACAGAATGGGAGAAAATTTTTGCAATCTACTTATCTGACAAAGGGCTAATATCCAGAATCTATAAAGAACTTAAACAAATTTACAAGAAAAAAACCCCAACAAAAAGTGAGCAAATGATATGAACAGACACTTCTCAAAAGAAGACATTCATGCAGCCAACAGACACATGAAAAAATGCTCATCATCACTGGTCATCAGAGAAATGCAAATGAAAACCACAATGAGATACTATCTCACAAAAGTTAGAATGGCGATCATTTAAAAGTCAGGAAACAACAGATGCTGGAGAGGATGTGGAGAAATAAGAACGGTTTTACACTGTTTGTGGGAGTGTAAACTAGTTCAACCATTGTGGAAGACAGTTGGTGAAACCCTATCTCTAACAAAAATACAAAAATACTTGCGCCACCATGTTCAGATAATTTTTGTTATTTTTAGTAGATATTTTAGAAGCAATTCCTCAAGGATCTAGAACTAGAAATACCATTTGACCCAGTGATCCCATTACTGGGTATATACCCAAAGGATTATAAATCATGCTACTATAAAGACACATGCACACCTATGTTTATTGCGGCACTATTCACAATAGCAAAAACTTGGAACCAACCCAAATGTCCATCAATGATAGACTGGATTAACAAAATGTGGCACATATACACCATGGAATACTATGCAGCCATAGAAAAGGATGAGTTCATGTCCTTTGCAGGGACATGGATGAAGCTGGAAACCATCATTCTGAGCAAACTATCACAAGGATAGAAAACCAAACACCACATGTTCTCACTCATAGGTGGGAACTGAACAGTGAGAACACTTGGACACAGGGCAGGGAACATCACACATGGGGGCCTGTCGTGGGGTGGCGGGCAGGAGGAGGGATAGCATTAGGAGGTATACCAAATGAAATGACGAGTTAATGGGTGCAGCAAACCAACATGGCACATGTATACCTACGTAGCAAACCTGCATGTTGTGCACATGTACCCTAGAACTTAAAGTATAATAATAATAATAAAAGAAAGAAAAAAAAAGCAAACAACCCCATCAAAAAACAGGCAAAGGATATGAACAGACACTTCTCAAAAGCAGACATTTATGAAGCCAACAGACACATGAAAAAATGATCAACACTGGTCATCAGAGAAATGCAAATCAAAACCACAATGAGATACCATCTCATACCAGTTAGAATGGCAATCATTAAAAAGTCAGGAGACAACAGATGCTGGAGAGGATGTGGAGAAATAGGAATGCTTTTACACTGTTGGGAGTGTAAATTAGTTCAACCATTGTGGAAGACAGTGTGACAATTCCTCAAGGATCTAGAACTAGAAATACCATCTGACCCAGCGATCCCATTACTGGGTATATACCCAAAGTATTATAAATCATGCTACTATAAAGACATATGCACACGTATGTTTATCGTGGCACTATTCACAACAGCAAAGACTTGGAACCAACCCAAATGTCCATCAATGATAGACTGGATAAAGAAAATGTGGCACATACATATCATGGAATACTATGCAGCCATAAAAAAGGATGAGTTCATGTCCTCTGCAGGGACATGGATGAAGCTGGAAACCATCATTCTGAGCAAACTATCACAATGACAGAAAACCAAACACTGCAAGTTCTCACTCATAGGTGGGAATTGAACATTGAGAACACTTGGACACAGGGCAGGGAACATCACACATGGGGGCCTGTCGAGGGGTGGGGCGCTGGGGGAGGGATAGCATTAGGAGATATACCTAATGTAAATGACGAGTTGATGGGTGCAGCAAACCAGCATGGAACATGTATACCTATGTAACAAACCTGCACATTGTGCACAGGTACCCTAGAACTTAAAGTATCATACATACATACATACATACATACATACATACATACATACGTACGTAAAATACTTAGAATGACAAAAAAATTAAATTAAAATTTGCTCTATTATCTCAATGTGAGAAAACAGCTATACAAATTGTAACCAAATTTCATGGGCATATATGGGAGGGTCTGACCTACAGCCACTAGCATATTAAAAAATATTCACTTTAGTGTAAAGAGAAAAATGCACTTCGTGGAACTCTGGGGTGCCCCCAGAGATACAGGCAGTTTAAGCACCAAAGCATTTATGACTTTCAGTCAAGAAATACAAGCTATAGCCAGGTGCGGTGGCTTACACCTGTAATCCCAGCACTTCGGGAGGCAGAGGTGGGTAGATCATGAGGTCAGGAGTTCAAGACCAGCCTGGCCAAGATGGTGAAACCCCGTCTCTACTAAAAATACAAAAATTAGCCGGGTGTGGTGGCACATGCCTGTAGTCCCAGCTTGGGAAGCTGAGGCAGAGAATTGCTTAGATCCAGGAGGCAGAGGTTTCAGTGAGCCAACACTGCACCACTGCACTCCAGTCTGGGCAACAGAGTGAGACTCCATCTTGGTGAAAAAAAAAAAAAAAAAAAAGAAATACAAGATATAAAAATTAGAGCATTATAAAGAAAAAAAAAGTTTTCAAATGCAATAATCCCTTGGTGTCTTCAAGTGAATTAGCTTTAGGAACTCCCCTAAGGATACTAAAATCACGGATGCCTAAGACCCTTAATGGCATAGTATTTGTATACAACCTGTGGACATCTGCCCATATACTTTAAATCATCTCTAAGATTACTATATACTTAGTTGTTATACTATATTTTTAAATGTTATATATTTTCTATTGTTGTACTGTTATTTTTTATTTTTTCAGAATATTTTCTATCTGTGGTTGGTCATACCCTCAAATGCAGAACCCAGGGATATGGAGGGCCAACTGTATGCGCCCCAAATTTAATGTCACAAAAGCAGACTCTGAATTTTAAGCAGTGATTTTAAATCAAGATACTTCCCATAGAGGCAACTTTAGCCTAAATCAGGCACCAATGTGTTTATTTAATGTTGGCTAATTATTTTCCTGGCCAGATTACTAGTAAGTATATTCCAACTTTTAAGCACATTAACTTCTAAAGTAGCAGTTTTTATTGCTATTAGCAATCTAAAACAGTAATACGTTCATTTAAGAACATGGAGTTTTTTTTTCCTATTAGAAACCTACAATAAATTGAGACTTACTGAATACACTGAGTTGCTAAACCATTCAGAGTACAGAATAGTTTATAGTCTCCTCAAATTCTGGAGTAAAGAAATGACAATCACATCTAAAAGAATAAGAAAAAGATAACAAAATGACATATACTTTTACCAACACACAAAGAGGGTATTTCCTAAAGTGGACAATACCTTTATCACCTAAAGTAAAAACTACTATTGAAACATTAATTTCAATAAACAAGTTCATATGATTAACTAGAATTCAAGCATTTATAAAAAAGCATTACTCAAAATGAAATATCCTATTCAAAGTCTCAAAAAATTTTTGATATTTTTACTGTGCTAAATATGGATGCCTTGTAACAGTCACATGTCTAAGAAACCCAATATCAAATACTTTCCAGAAACTAAAACAGAGACCAAGCTATTTAACCAGACTTAAGACCTTAGCTAATAATCTGAAAAAAAAAAAAAAAAAAAAAAAGTCAGTAATACATAATCCTCAGGTTCTAGTCACTTAACATTATATTTATAAAAATAAAATAGAAGCATGAGTGACAAGAAATCAAGTAGCAACAATCAATGATTTCAATAATAATATAAATATACATTTATGATATTAGAAATCAATATAATTTAGTCTTACCTCTGAACTGCAGTCATCTGCTGTGGTTGAAATTTCACTTTCCAGCTAAAACAAAAATAAAAACCAAATATAATTATGACTTTTTTGTGCTAAATATCATACTTTACTAAACCATTACTATTGGTAACATATGATAGAAAAGTCACATAAAATACCACTAAAAAACTAGTAAAAATTACTCAAATCTTTAAAATTTTCATTTAATTATAAATAACAATGGCAAAATAATGCAACCAAAATGTACCAGTAGGCATTTTTCTAAATATAAAAGTATCAAGAGGTACTTTCATACAGGGTCTTATATACATATCATTTGTAAGCCAAAAGCATGAAGTAAGACACCATTCCTCCAATCCTCATACAGTAGCCCCCTCTTTATCCACAGTATTGCTTCCTATAATTTCAGTTACCCATGGTTAACTGTGGTTAGAAAATATTAAAATGGAAAATTCCAAAAATAAACAATTCATAAGTTTTAAATTGTGCACTGTTCTAAGTGGCATGATGAAATCTTACTCTGTCCCATCCAGGACATGAATCGTCCCTTTGTACACCATATCCACACAGTATATGCTACCTGCCCAACAGTTACTTGGTAGCCACCTCCATTATCAGATGCACTATCATACATTATGGCAGTATGCAGTATTGCAGTGCTTGTGTTCAAGTAATGGCCCCAAAGCACAAGAGTACAGTGCCTAATTTATCAATTAAACTTTATCATAAGTATATGAGTATAGGAAAAAACACAGTATATACAGAGTTCAGTACTATCTGTGGTTTCAGGTCTCCACTGGGGGTGTTGGACTATACTCTTGATATGGTTTGGCTGAGTTCCCCCATCCAAATCTCATCTTGAATTGTAGCTCCCATAATTCCCATGTGTTTTGGGAGAGACCTGGTGGGAGATAAGTAAATCATGAGAGCAGTTTCCCCCATACGGTTCTTGTGGTAGTAAGTCTCACGAGATATGATGGTTTTATAAGGGGTTTCCCTTTTCCCTTGGCTCTCATTTTTCTCATGTCTGCTGCCATGTAAGATGTGCCTTCTGCCTTCCACCATGATTGTGAGGCCTCACCAGCCACGTGGAACTGTGAGTCCATTAAACCTCTTTTTCTTTATAAATGACCTAGTCTCCGGTATGTCTGTATCAGCAGCATGAAAATGGAATGATACAACTCTCCACAAATAAGGAGGAACTACCGTACCTCTTTAAAATGAAACAAAGTCCTAAAATGCTACTGTTAGAAAAGTTCGGCCAGGTGTGGTGGCTCATGCCTGTAATCCCAGCACTTTGGGAGGCTGAGGTGGGTGGATCATTTAAGGTCAGGAGTTCGAGACCTGCCTAGCCAAAATGGTGAACTCTCGTCTTTACTAAAAAAAAAAAAAAAAAAAAAAAAATACAAAAACTAGCCAGGCGGTAGTGGTGCATGCCTGTAATCCCAGCTACCTGAGAGGCTGAGGCAGGAGAACTGCTTGGGCCTGGAAGGGAGAGCTTGTGGTGAACCAAGATCATGCCATTGCACTCTGGTCTGGGTGACAGAGTGAGACCCTGTCTTTAAAAAATAATAATAATAATTAAAATAAATCAATAAAAAAGAAAAGTTCAATTTCTCTGAAAGAAAAATCATATCATCATGATGCTAAAAAAAGTAATAACTAAAGAAAAAATAACCACTTTTGTTATAACACCTTTACAGTTTACAAAAGCACTTTTAAAGTCATTCTTGTTTCACTATCACATGCCTGGATTTGGGTATGAAGTGAGTAGCTTTTTCAAGCTTCCCTAAAAGAAGTAGTAGAAAGAGTCAAGGAACAAATCCAAATTTTCTGACTCCAAAAGTACTATTCTCACTGTTGACCCTCTCCAGAGAGTTTCACCCTTTCATTCAACAAATATTAACTGTCACTGTCTCCTTTCTCATCTACACCTATGGAAATTCTATTCAACATTCAAGTCTAAGTTCTAAAACTACCTTCTCCATGAAGTAGTAACTGAGGCCAAGAACAAAAATAAACTTGCCTGTAATCTAAAATCCTATTAACAGTGGTTCCTAACTCATAAGATTCTCTTTTTTTTTTTTTTTTTTTTGAGACAGAGTCTCACTCTGTTGCCCAGGCTGGAGTGCAGCGGCATCATCTTGGCTCACTGCAACCTCCGCCTCCCAGGTTCAAGCAATTCTCCTGCCTCAGCCTCCCGAGTAGCTAGGATTACAGTCACGCACCAACATGCCCAGTTAATTTTTGTATTTTTAGTAGAGACAAGGTTTCACCATGTTGCCCAGGCTGGTCTTGAACTCCTAACTTCTAGCGATCTGCCCACCTCAGCCTCCCAAAATGCTGGGATTACAGGCGTGAGCCACTGCACCCAGCCGAGATTATCTTTTAAATCTGAAATACTTTCATGATACAATCCCTCATATTCATTAAGTGCATATTGTGTACTAGAAACGGTAGTACTGAGAATTAAATGGTGAATAAGACAGTTGTTGCATTCAAAATGCTAAAACTATAGAATAGAGAACCCAAATATTGGTTTGTTATATTAAAAAATAAATAATATACCTTTGAGCCAAATCAAGCAGTAGAGTTGCCACACTGCATTATTTTTAAAATTCCAGTTTTAATAAAACAAAAATTACAAGATGTACAAAAAAAGGAAAGGATAGTCTATGCACAAGAAAAACAATGGTCAATAGAAACCGTCCCTGAGGAACACAGATATTGTACTTAACAGACAAAGTTATTTTTGGTTTTGTCTTGGTTTTTTCTTTTTTTGAGACGGAGTCTCGCTCTGTCGCCCAGGCTGGAGTGTAGTGACGTGATCTCGGCTCACTGCAAGCTCCGCCTCCTGGGTTCATGCCATTCTCCTGCCTCAGCCTCCCGAGTAGCTGGGACTACAGTTGCCCACCACCATGCCCCGCTAATTTTTTGTATTTTTAGTACAGACAGGGTTTCACCGTGTTAGCCAGGATGGTCTCGATCTCCTGACCTCGTGATCTGCCCGCCTTGGCCTCCCAAAGTGCTGGGATTACAGGCATGAGCCACCGCGCCCGGCCCTTGTGTTGTTTTTTGAGACAGGATCTCACTCTGTCACCCAGGCTGGAGTGCACTGGTGTGATCACAGCTTGCTGCAGCCTCCACCTCTTGGGCTCAAGCGATTCTCCCACCTTAGCCTCTGGAGTAGCTGGGACCACAGGTGTGCACAACCATGCCCGGCTAATTTTTTTTACTTTTTGTAAAGACAGAATATCCCTTTTTTGCCCAGGCTGGTCTCGAACTCTTCGGCTCAAGTAATCCCCTTGCCTCTGCCTCCCAAAGTGCTGGGATTACAGATATGAGCCACCATGCCTGGCCAACAAAGATTCTGACTCAGCTATTTTAAATACAGTCAAATAACTAAAGGAAATAAAATCTAAAAACAAAACAAAACAAAATTTAAATTGTAAGAACAACACCTCACCAAATGAAGAATATCAATAAAACGAAGAAATTATAAAATAATCAAATAAAAATTCTGGAATTGAAAAGGAAAATAAATGAAAAGCCACTAGAAGGACTCAGTAGTAGATCTAAGTAGGAAGAGAGAATCAGCAAACTTCAAGATAGATGAATTGCAATTATCCACTCTGAAGAACAGAAAGATGACTATATGTTAGACCATTTAAATACCCAAAATATTTTAAAAGGCTGAATTTATATAATGTAAAATGTGTGCTGTAACATCTTTTGTCCCTAGTGATGGTTTTTGTATTAAAGTCATTGCAAATAGACACAAAAAAAGCATTTAACAAAACTCAACACTCAGGTTGGGAGCAGTGAGTGGCTCATGCCTGTAATCCTAGCACTTTGGGAGGCTAAGGCAGGCAGATCACTTGAATCCAGGAGTTCAAGACAAGCCTGGGCAACATGGCAAAACTCCGTCTCTACAAAAAAATACACAAATTAGCTAGGTGTGGTGGCATGGGCCTGTAGTCCCAGCTACTTGTCGGGCTGAGGTGGGAGGATCACTGAAGTCTGGGAGGTTGAGGCTGCAGTGAGCCATGATTGCACCACTGCATGCCATCCTGGACGAGAGTGAGATCCTGTCTCAAAAAACAATAAAATAAGTGGATGGGCATAGTGGCTAATGCCCGTAGTCCCAGCACTTTGGGAGGCTGAGGTGGACGTATCACTTGGGGTCAGGAGTTCGAGACCACCCTGGCCAACATGGTGAAACCCCATCTCTACTAAAAATACAAAAATTAGTTGGGCGTGATGGCTCACAATCCCAACTACTCAGGAGGCTGAGGCAGGAGAATCACTCGAACCTGGGAGGTGGAGACTGCAGTGAGCTGAGATCACCCCACTGCACTCCAGCAGTGGAGTGCAAAGTCAAAGCGAGACTTTGTCTCAAAAAAAAAAAAAACAAACAAACAAACAAAAAACAAACCAATAAACTAAAAAATAAAAACAAAACAAAAAAACCTCAACATTTCTTTATAATGAAAACACTTAATGAACCAGGAATAAAAGGGAACCTCCTCAATCTGATAAAGGATAGCTACAAAAACAAAACAAAACAAAACAAAAACAGCTAATATAAAACTCAATGGTTAAAAAAAAACCTGAATGCTTTCCCCTTATTAGGAGAAATAATACAAGGATGTCTGCTTTCAACACTTCTTTTCAACATTGTCTTATATCTTCCAGCTATGGCAATTACAAAAAAGAAAAAAGAACATCGACATTGGAAAGGAAGAAGTTGAACATTTCTAGTTTAGTTGCAGATAATATGGTCTTGCATACAGGAAAAATCGAAGGAATTCACCAAAACAAAACAAAACAAAACAAAAAACCTATTAGAACTTACAGATGAGTTAGCTCTGCAAGGGTACAGGAGACAAGATCAATATACAAATTTAGTTGTATTTGTATACATGGATAATGAATAATCAGAAAATAAAGTTAAGAATACAATTATATTTAGAATAGCAGTAAAATGCTTAGAAATAAAATAGCAATAAAATGCTTGGTGGCCAGGCATAGTGGTTCATGCCTGTAAATAAAACTTTACAGGCATAAGCACTTTGGGAGCCAGAGCGGGAGGATCACTTAAGTCTTGGAATTCGAGACCAGCCTGGACACAAAGTGAGACCACATTTCTACAAAAAACTAAAATAAAATAAAATAACAAAAACAAGGCCAAGCACGGTGGCTCATGCCTGTACTCCCAGGACTTTGGGAGGCCAAGGTGGGTGGATCTCCTGAGCTCAGGAGTTTGAGACCAGCCTGGGCAACATGGCAAAATCCCATCTCTACCAAAAATACAAAACATTAACCAGGTGTGGTAGCATGCACCTGTGGTCCCAGCTACTCAGGAGGCTGAGGTGGGAGGATGGCTTGGGCCTGGGTGACAGAGGTTGCAGTGAGCCAAGATCATGCCACTGCACTCCAGTCTCGGTGACAGAGTGAGAACCCATCTCAAAAAGTAAATAAATGAAAATTAAAATAAAAATAAAATGCTTGAGAGTATATTTAACAAAACAAATGTGAGACGTTTACACTGAAAACAAGGTAACATTAAAAAAATTAAAAACCTAAATAAATAAAAAATCCTGTGTTCATAGGTTGAAAACTTAATATTGTTAAGATGACAAAACTCCCCAAATTCATCTACAGATTCAATGCAATCCCTGTCAAAATCCGTGGTGTTTTTAATGCAGAAACAGAAAAACCTGACCCTAAAATTGATACGGAAATGCAAGGCAACAGCCAAAACAATCCCAAAAGAGAAGAAAGTTGGAAGACTCACACTTACTGATTTCAAAAGTTGTTATAAAGCTACATTAATCAAGACTTGGGGGCATAGTAGCAAAGGCTAAACATACAGATCTACAGAATATAATTGAGGGGATAAATATAAACCCTCACCTTTATATTCATTGACAGTTCATTGGGAAAAGAATAGTCTTTTCAACAAATGGTATTGGTACAACTGGATAGCCACAAACAAAAAAAATGAAGTTGGACATCTATCTCTCATACTAGCAAAGGTCTAATCATAGCACACTGCATACCTTTAAGTCTGCCTTCTCCACTAGAATAATTTTCCTAAAGGGCAGAGATAGTCATATCCATCTTTGTAACTCTGGTGCTCAGTCTTTGGTGTACTGCAGTTGTTCAACATATATTAAATTAAACTCACAAAACTCCCTCTCTGAGATGATCAAATATTTTAGTTATGACTGTTTAGTTACCATACTACTAAAACTTTCAAGAGGACATAAAAATCATGATCAAATTGCGCACAGTTGCTAATGACTGTTGTTATGACTACTTTCCATCGAGAACCATAATGATTAAAAATCTGGGAGAATACTTACTTCCACAGAGAAGCCCTGCTCATGACTGGTTATTTCTCCACTATGTAGAGTTCTCATTATTGTAGATTCAGGAATCACAGTTGATTCTACTCTCTGAGAACTATTTATGTACATTTCATTACACTGTGATTGATCAATATTCAAATCATGGTGTGCTGACACATCATGTTTACTGCTTGACGTTTTTCTCTTTTTTTTCTGCTTCTTGGAAGGACTCTGCCCATCCGACTGAGCTTTTCTTTGTCGAAACTGGGCAAGCTAAGAAAAAAGAAAATAACCGTTATTGTCAAAGATAATTTTTCTTTATTGCCACCAAGAAAAAAGCAGCTTTGGGAGTCTCTCTTTTAAAGATCAAACTATCACTAAATAAAAATGAAAAAATAAAGAACAATTATTACAGTCTTTAATGTAACTACTGGAATGCAAAGAAACATTTCTGAATAAACCTACTGAAATATTGAGGGGTAAGAACTGAAAATGTCATGTCTAAATAAAAGAAAATAAGCCCAGAATTAGGCAGAATAAGGGAAATCAGGCACTGTCATTCACTGCTTAGTGAGAATATAATCTCACCAAGATTTTATTTTATTTTTTGAGACAGGGTCTTACTCTGTCATCCAGGCTGGAGTGCAGTAGCGCCATCACAGCTCACCTCAACTTTCTGGGCTCCACAGATCCTCCCACTTCAGCCCCCAAGTAGCTGGGACTACAGGAACATGTCATCACACCTGGCTAATTTAATTCTTGTATTTTTTTGTACAGACAGATTTTTGCCACGTTGCCCAGGCTGGTCTTCAACTCCTGGGCTCAAGCAATTCGCCTGCCTCAGCCTCCCCAAAATACTGGGATTACAGACGTGAGCCAGTGTGCTGGCCAAGCTCTGGATTTTAGATTATATGAAAACACACACATACACACATGCACACACAGAGCACTACATGAATTTGCTTTCTGGAATTTCTGTGTCTTCTATTACTATATACTAAAAAGATTTAGTTCATGCAAAAAGATTTAGCTATATAAAGTGGTCACTGCAGCCTTATTCATAATGGGAAAAAAAACTGGAAATAACTTAAATATCAAACAGCAGTGCTTTCCAGCCCTTAATCGTTTACATATCATCATCAGGATTTTTGTCCTATCCTAGAGCCACCTTTATGTATCATTTACTTAACATGTTTTAACCAATGTAGTTTTCTTATTTAAATTTATTTTAAGAACAGAGGCTTCCATTAGGTCGGTACAAAAACTGCAATTGCTTTTGCACCAACCTAATAGCTCCAAAATGGTGGCACAGAAGCAAGTTGCCTTCGCTTCCCCTAACAGAAAACCAAAAGCAAATATACAGAGCTTAGATTATTACTGGCGATATCCCAGAACTCAAATATGAGGAAGAAACAGTATTCAAGACCATGGAGAAGTGAAAAAACTCTGAGCAGAAGTTAAAAGAATTAGACTTTGATTTTCATGATTCCCATTCTCCTAATCTGCCCATCACCAAACATGGAAAATATTCCCCTGACTCACAGTTTCTACACTGGAAAAAGTGAGATCAAGGTGGACAACCAGCTTCTCCATCAACTTGGGCTCCTTGACAGGAGATCTGTCCCTGGCTCAACCAGGGACAACCAGGAAGTACTGGGAATATCTGAAGGGAGAAATATTCCTAACAGCCAGAGACAAAGCGGGAAGGCAAGACTACCATTCCTAGCCCTGAAAAACCCTGCTTTGTAACTTGGCCAAAGGAGACGCCAAATCAGACTGGCTGTTCAGCAGCATCACACTGTAAGAGGTTCATGCCACAGGTCCTCTGGGCACGAGCCCCTAGCCAGACTAGGGGCCTTTGGGACCTTACCGATCAAGGATGGATAACACTGATTGTTTACTAGAACTGAAGCAAACTGGGGCTAAAGACATCATATACATTATATTATGTAGTACTGAAACAGAGGCAGTGACATAGTGCAAAAAAAAAAAAAAAAAAAAGAGAGGCAAAACATAAAAGACTCTATGAGCAAACATATCCAGTAAAAGCTAAAACAAGCCAGACAGAGAAGACTAGAATAAATAACAAAATCTTCACTTTAAGAAATAGATGTAGGCCGGGCACGGTGGCTCACACCTGTAATCCCAGCACTTTGGGAAGCCGAGGCGGGAGGATCACGAGGTCAGGAGATCGAGACCATCCTGGCTGACACAGTGAAACCCTGTCTCTACTAAAAATACAAAAAAATTAGCCCGGCAGTGGTGGCAGGCGCCTGTAATCCCAGCTATTCGGGAGGCTGAGGCAGGAGAATGGCGTGAACCCGGGAGGCAGAGCTTGCAGTGAGCTGAAATCGCGCCACTGCACTCCAGCCTGGGCAACAGAGCGAGACTCCGTCTCAAAAAAAAAAAAAAAAAAAAAAAAAGAAATAGATGTATATCCACAAGAAACAACAGCAAATGGGAAACCTTGACTTAGTCAAATGGACAAAGCACAAAGAACCAGTGAATCAGTGAATGACCCTAACAAGACAGAAATATGTGAACTCTGTGAACAAGAATTCAAAACAGCAGTTTAAAGGAAATTAGTGATCTCCATTACACAGAAAAACAATTCAGAAATGTATTAGAAAAATTTAACAAAGATTAAAAGTTTTTTATAAATCAAAAAGAAATTTTGGAACTGAGAAAGATTTGCTGAACAGAAAGAATCATTAGAGGCTCTCAACAGGAGAATGGATCAAACAGAAAAAAGAATCAGTGAGCTCAAAGACGGGCTATTTAAAAATACAGAGGAGAAAAGGAAAGAATGAAAAGGAACAAAGATCACCTAGAAGACACAGAAAATTACCTCGAAATATCAAATCTAAGAATTATCAGTGTTCAAAAGGGAGTTCTAGTCTTCACTGTCTGGCTTGTTTTTTACTGAATGTGTTCACTTAGAGAGTCTTTGCAATTTATGTATTGTTTTTGTATCTTTTTTTTGGTACCATGTCACCGCCTGTTTTTCAGCACTACATAATATAATGCCTAACTTTAATGCAAGGGGGTAGAAATCTTATTCAAGAAATAATAAAAACTTTTTAAAACTTGAGAAAGAGATAAAATATCCAGGTATAGGAACGTTAGAGAACAAAGCAGATTTGACCCAAAAAAGATTACTCCAAAGCATGTAATAATCAAACTCTCAATGGTCAAGGACAAAGAGAGGATCCTAAAAGTGGCAAAAGAAAAGAAGCAAACAATGTATAAAAGAGCTACAATTCGTCTGGCAACAGACTTCTCAACAGATACCATACAGGTCATACAGGAGGAAGAAACCATATAGGAGGATGTGGGACAACATGTTCAAAGTGCTGAAGGAAAAAAACAGCCACCCAAGGATACTGTATCCAGCAAAGCTATCCTTCAAATACAAAGAAGAGGAACAAAGTCTTTCACAGACAAACAAAAGCTGAGAGAATTCACTAACACATACCTGTCTGACAAGAAAAGCTAAAGAGAGTTCTTCAATCTGAAAGAAAAAAACACTAATGTGAAAAAACAAAACATGTAAAGGTATACAACCCACTAGTAAAATTAAGTACGTGGACAAACCCACAATACTCTAATACTGTAATTGTGGTGTAGCGCCCACTCATAACTCTAGGATGAAGTCCAAAAGACAAACCTACCAAAAACATTAATAGCTACAGCATCCTATCAAGAAATAGGCAATATAAAAACATGTAAATTGAGACAAAGTAAAGTCAAAATGTGGAGGGAATGGAGTTAGAGTATAGAGGGTTTTTTTTTCTTTTGTTTCCATTATTTTCTTTGTGATCTAAAGTAAGTTGTCATATCATTAAAATAACTGCTTGAACCTATGTCTTTTTAAGTCTCATGGTGACCACAATGCCAAAAACTATAATAAATTCACTACAAATAAAAAATCAACAAATTCAAACATACTACCAGAAAAAAAAATCACTTAACTTCAAAGAAAGACAGTAAGAAAGGAAGAAGAGAGGAATTACAAAACAACCAGAAAACAAGCAACAAAATAGCATTAGTAAGACCTCACTTATTAATAATAATACTCAAGGTAAATACACTCAATTCTTCAATTAAAATGGCGAGAGTGGCTGAATGAATACAGAAGTAAGACCCAACCATAAGCTGCCCACAAAAAACCCACTTCGCCTATTAAGAATGCGCACAGACTGAAAGTGAAGGGGTGGAAAAGGATATTCCGTGCAACTGGACACCAAAAAAGAACAGGAGTAGCTATACTTGTATCAGATAAAATAGGCTACCAGTCAAGACTATAAAAAGAGACAAAGAAGGTCATTATATAATGATAAAGGTGTCAATTTAGCAAGCGGATATAACTATTATAAATATCTATGCACCCAGCACCAGAGCCCCAAGTATAAAAAGCAAGTATTAATAGATCTAAAGGGAGAGATAGACTGCAATACAGTAATATAGGGAACTTAAATACCCCAATCCCAGTATTGGACAGATCATCCAAAGAGAAAATTAAAGAAAACATCAGAATTAAACTATACACTACGCCAAATAGGCCAAACTGACATCTACAGAACATTTCACCCAACTCCTGAAGAGTATTGTTTTCATCAGTATATGGAGCATTCTCCAGAATAGACCATATATTAGGTCATAAAACAAGTCTCAACAAATTCAAAAGGTAGAAATCATATCAAGTATCGTTTCTGACCATAATGGAATAAAACTAAAAATCAGTCACAAGAAGTACCTCAGAAAACACAAACAAATAATAATTAAGTATGTTCCTGCTGGGCATGGTGGCTCATGTCTGTAATCCCAGCACTTTGAGTGGCTGAGGTGGGATGAATGCTTGAGCCCAGAAGTTCAAAACCAACCTGGGCAACAAGATTTCACTTTGTTGCCCAGGTTGGTCTCAAACCTACAAAATTTCAAAACATTGGCTAGGCATGGTGTCCCACGCCTGTGGTGCCAGCTACTTGAGAGGCTGAGGCAGGAGGATCGCTTGAGCCCAGGAGGTAGAGGCTACAATGAACCATGTTCACACCACTGCACTCCAGCCTGGGCAACAGAGAAAGGCCCTGTCTCAAAAAACAAAACAAACAAAAAACCAACATAATCCTGAAGGACAAATGGGTCAATGATGAAATTAAAAGAGAAAATTTTAAATTTCTTGAAAGAAATGAAAATGGAAATACAACATACCAAAATCTATGTGATAAAGCAAAAGCAGTACTGAGAGGGAAGTTTATACCAATAAAACAATATGAGAAAGACTTCAAATAAACAACCAAACAACGCACTGCAAGAAACTAGAAAACCAAGAACAAACCAAACCCAAAATTAGTAGAAGAAAGGAAATAACAAAAATCAGAGCAGATACAAATGAAATTGAGGCCAAAACAGTCAATACAGAAGTCAATGAAACAAAAAGTTGCTTTTCTGAAAACATAAACAAAATCAACAAACCTTTAGCTATACTAATTTTCATAAAAGGAGAAAGGTCAAATAAAATCAGAAATGAAAAAGAAGATGTAAAAACTGAGACCACAGAAATACAAAAATCATTACAGACTATTATGAACAACTATATGCTAACAAATTCAAAAACCTAGAAGAAAAAGATAAATAAATTCCTGGACACATAGAACCTACCAAAATTGAACCATGAAGAAATAGAAAACCTCAACAAACCAACAATGAAATCAAAGCCTTAATAAAAAGTCTCTCATCAAGCTGGGAGCGGTGGCTCACACCTGTAATCTCAGCACTTTCAGAGGCCGAAGCAAGTGGATTGCTTGAGCTTGAGCTCAGGAGTTTGAGACCAGCCTGGGCAACATGGCAAAACCTCGTCTCTACCAAAATACAAAAAATTAGCCAGGCATGGTGGCACATGCCTGTGGTCCCAGCTACTTGGGAGGCTGACATGGGAAGACGGCTTGAGCCCAGGAGGCAGAGGTTGCAGTGATCTATGAACACACCACTGCACTCCAGCCTAGGCAACAGGAGACCCAATCACACACAGACACAAAAAATCCCCCATCAAAGAAAAGCCCAGGACTTGATGGCTTCACTTCTGAATTCTACCAAACATTTAAAGAATAACAATTATACTCAAACTCTTCAAAAAACTTAAGAGAAGGGAGTACTTCCAAACTCATTCTATGAAACCAACATTAGCCTGATACCAAAACCAGACAAGGACACAACAAAAAAGAAAACTACAGGCCAATATCACTGATGAACATAGATGCAAAAATCCTCAACAAAATACTAGCAAACTGAATTCAACAACACATTAAAAAGATCATTCACCATGATCAAGCGGGATTCATCCCAAAGACACAAGGATAGTTAAACATGTGCAAATCAATAAATATGATACATCACATTGAAAGAATCAAGAACAAAACCCTATGACCATTTCAATTAACGCTGAAAAAAAATTTAAAATTCAACATGCCTTTAGGATAGAAACCCTCAACAAACTGGATACAGAAGATGCATACCTCAAAGTAATAAAGGCCATATATGGCAAACCCACAGCTAATATCACACTGAATAGGGAAAAATTAAAAGCCTTTCCTCTAAGTCTGGAACAAGACAAGGAGGTCCACTTTCATGCAACATACTGGAAGTCCTGGCCACAGCAACTAAGCAAGAGAAAAAAATAAAAGATAACCAAATTGGAAAGGAAAAGGTCAATTTAGCCTTATTTGCATACAATATGATCTTATACTTAGAAAAACCTACAGACTCCACCAAAAACTGTTAGAACTGATAAACAAATTCAGTAAAATAGCAGGATACACAATCAACATACAAAAATCAATAGAAATTATATATACCAACAGCAAACAATCTGAAAAAGAAATCAAGAAAGTAATCACATTTACTATAGCTACAAAGAATATAAAATACCCAGAAATCAATTTAACTAAAGAAGTAAAAAATCTATACAAGGAAAACTATAAAAGAGTGATGAAAGAAATGGAACAGGACATTAAAAATGGAAAGAAATCCATGTTTGTGGATTAGAAGAATATTGTAAAAATGATACTATCCAAAGCAATTTACAGATTCAATACAATCCCTATTGAAATACCAATGCCATTATTCACAGAAATAGAAAAAACAATCTTAAAATTTTGATAGAACCACAAAAGATCACAAACAGCCAAAGCAAAAAGAACAAAGCTGGAAGCATCACATTACCTGACTTCAAAATATACTACAAAGCCATACAAACAAATCAGCATGGTCTTGGCATAAAAACAGACACACAGACCAATGGAACGAAACAGAGAACCCAGATATAAATTCACACACTTACAGTCAACTCATTTTCTACAAAGGTGCCAAGAATATACAACATCCACACAGAAAATAAACATCAGAGTTAAACTACACACTAAATAGGCTAAATTGATATTTACAAAACATTTTATCCAACTGCTGAAGAATACACATTCCTTTCCTCAGCACATGGAACATTCTCCAGAATAGACCATATATTCTGAGAAAAGGACAATCTCTTCAATAAATAATGCTGGGAAAACTGGATAACCATATGTAGAAGAATGAAACTACATAAGTATCTCTTACCACATACAAAAAAAATCACATCAAAATGGATTTAAAAATCTAAGACCTGAAACTACAAAAAGAAAACAGTAGAGAAATACTCTAGGACATTGGTCTGGGGAAAGTTTTTTTTTGTCTAAGATCTCAAAAGCAGAGGCAACAAAAACAAAAACAGACAAATGGAACCAGGCTAAAAAGTTTCAGAAGAGTGTGGTGGCTCAAACCTGTAAGCACAGCACCATGGGAGGCCGAGGCAGGAGGATCACTTGAGCCTGAGAGTTTGAGACTGGCCTGGATAACATAGTGAGACATAGATCTATCTCTACAAAAAATAAATAATTTAAAAAATGTTTTTAAAGCTAAAAAGTTTCTGTACAGCAAACGAAACAATCAACAAAGTGAAGAGACAACCCACAGAATGGGAGAAAATAGCTACAAACTATTCATCTGACAGGGAGTTAACAACAACCAGAATATACAAGAAGTTCAAACAGCTGGACAGCAAAAGAGCAAATAATCTGATTAAAACATGGGCAAAATATCTGAACAGACATTTCTTAAGAGAATACATACAAATGGTCAACAAGTATCTGAAACAATGCTCAATGTTACTAATCATCAGAGAATTGCAAATCAAAACCACCACGATATATTATCTCACTGCAGTTAAACTGACTTTCATCAAAAAGACAGGGAATAACAGATGCTGGGGAGGATGTGGAGAGAGAAGAGCCCTTGTATACTGTTAACAGAAATGTAAATCAGCACACACTATGGAAAACTGTATGGAGGATTTCTAAAAAACTAAAAATAGAACTACCACAGGATCCAGCAATTCCCCTACTGGGACATATTCAAAAGAAAGAAAATCAATATACAAAGGAGATAGCTGCATTCCCATGTTTTTTTGTAGTACTATTTACAATAGCTAAAATATGAAATTAGCTTAAGTGCCCATCAATTGATAAACGGATAAAGAAAATGTGGTATGTACACAATGGAATATTATTCAGCCATAAAAAAAGAACAAATTGTCATTCGCAGCACCATGGACACAAATGGAGGGCACTATGTTAAGTGAAATAAGCTAAGCACAGAAAGACAAATATCAGACGTTCTCACTCATATATGGGAGCTGAAAAAGTAGATGCAAATAGTGAGTAGATTGGTGGTTACCAGAGACTGGGAAGAGTAGGAAGGTGGAGAAGATGAAGAGGGGCTGACAATGGATACAAAGAACAGTTTAACAGAAGAAATAAAACCTAGTGTTTGATAGATTGGTAGGGTGACTATAGTTTACAAAAAACTACTAAATATTTCAAAATAGCTAGAATAAAATAATTTGAATATTTCTAAAAAATATTTGAATATTTCACTAATTAAAGCTAACGGACATCCCAATTACACTGATTTGATCCTTACAAACTATATGAGTGCATTAAATTATCACATGTATTCCCAAAATATATACATTACATAACAATAAAAATTTTAAAGTAAATTTATTCTAAAAGGAGACTTTCTATCCTTGGCACAAACTAAAAGTCAGTATCACTGTCATTTCTTTTTTAGAAAAGTAAACAAAAATAAATACAATGAAAAAATTATTAAAATTTTAGTTAGATTTTGTTGAAGGGTATGAGAGAAATGGGCAAGTGTTAAAAGGGTGTTAAAGATATATGAGTATCAAACAGACTCTTGGCTATCACAAGCAGATGAACTAAAAGAAAACTGGCAAACATAATAACTTTCTTACAATACTATCTAATGTTTTTCTCTTTCTATTTTTTTATTTTTATAGATTTAGGGGGTACAAATCCAGTTTTGTTACATCGATATATTACATAGTGGTGAAGTCTGAGTTTTTAGGGTAGGCATTACCCAAATAGTGTACATTGTACCCATTTATCCAATGTTTTTAATACTGGATCAGGATAGACCTAAAATATCACCACCTAACATCAGAAGTATGTATTACATGCTTTAGGCAACATTAGGTTAACTATGATGACGCCATATTAAAATATTTATGTAAACCATTATTGCTAACAAAGATGTTCATGACACAGTAGTAGGTATATTACTGCTGCATAATCTATTTTTATGAAAAAAATAATGTACACTTCTTTTAACAGAGAAGGCAGGACTCAAACTCACATCCTTCAACAATCGTATCTAGCTTGAATTTTAATAACATTGTACTTGTAGGCATAGAGAAACTCTGGAAGAATATAACTGAGAACTTTGGTGTATCTCTGACTTGAGATTACAGGTATTTTTCCTTTTGCTAATGTGAAATTTCCTTTTGTTATGCAATAGATTTTCTAATTTTTCTAAGAAGCAACTATTAGCCACCTATTCCTAAATTGAATTTGAGCTCTTTGGTCATTCTGAGAGGAGAGAAACCAAAGAATAAGAAAAGGTGTAAGCTTTGTTGTGCTTTAAAAAAAGGAAATATACTACTAGTATTAATATAACTATTAATTAGACCAGTTACAACAATGGCCAGAAAATTTATCATAAAAATAAAGCAATTTTTAATGATGCTCATATTACTATCAAAATATGTGACAAATGGCTGGGCGCGGTGGCTCACGCCTGTAATCCCAGCACTTTGGGAGGCTGAGGCGGGCGGATCACAAGGTCAGGAGTTCAAGACCATCCTGCCTAACACGGCGAAACCACATCTCTACTAAAAATACAAAAAAATTAGCCGGGCATGGTGGCGGGTGCCTGTAGTCCCAGCTACTCAGGGGGCTGAGGCAGGAGAATGGTGTGAATCCGGGAGGCGGAGCTTGCAGTGAGCCGAGATCATGCCACTGCACTCTAGCCTGGGCGACAGAGCAAGACTCCGTCTCAAAAATATGTGTGTGTGTGTGTGTGTGTGTGTGTGTGTGTGTGTGTGTGTGTGACAAATATGTTATCTACAGAATAACACACAACATATTTTATACTTATTTTGTCTGCTGTGGATGAAGGAAAGCATATGTACTATTTACTTAATAAAGACATCTAATTTATAAATCAGAAATAGCTAATCACTAGCCTAGTAGGATATAAAAATAAATTATATTTAAATTTTTTCCCAGTTATTCAGCAACTACACAGTTATTCCACCTCATGTCTCCTTGAGGAACAGGTGCAAGACCAGTTGCCTCTACTTGTACATTAAGAAACTGGAATGCACTTAAACTACTTTGGAGGGTAGCAAATTCATTCTTAAAAATAAACCAACTGGAATACTGCTAAATATATTATCTGTAAATGGAATCAGAATTCTAGGTGCATTGTTTAAAAAGAAAAGATCCCTCAGAGAGAATGCAAAACCAAAAGAAATTAATAGCATTTTTGATATTTATGCTCAATTTCAGAAACTTAAAATTCCACATTGTCTGCATTAGAAAATACATTTAGACAGCAAAATATATCAGGGCAAAGGTGAAAATTTGGTTTGAGATTCCAACTGTAATTAGGGTATACATAATTTATATTTAATATTTATTCAGATGTGCAAACACATAATAAATGAGAAAAACTAAAACTTTGCATCATAAACAGTTCGATTAAAAATCTGAAACAATAATATTCATTACTAAATGAACCCAAATTAAAAAGATAATGGATAGATATGGAATCAAAATAGGAATTTTTCTATTATAGTGCTTAGAACGAATCACTTTTAAGGACATTAAATTACCATGGCATTGTTTTAGGCCTATGTTACTGATTATATGAAGTCATATTATTTTTCAGATTAACCGGAAGGTAAGTTCACTGAGGGTTAGGGCTTTCTTTTGTTCTCTGCTATATATACAAAGCCTAAAATAATATTCAGAGTAAAAAAAGATAATTTATCTTTTACAGAAAAGTCACCACTAAGCAATGATTTCAAGCACCACTTCACAAGACTTGAGAACCAAAACAGTTTAACGGGCATATTTAATTCTACTACATTAAAAACTCATGGTTTCAAAATTAACAAATTTCTAGTTACTTATTAAATGAATTAAAACACAAAAAATTATAATCTCCCTCCTCCACCAAAAGACAAAAAGCAAAACAAAATTTAAATTCTCAGAAAAATAATATCTACAATAACTTTTTAGCAAGAGTTCTGTTTGGTAAAAATGTGAGAGAGGGAACAAGATCATATATATCCAATTTCTTATACTAATAGATATTTAAGCTATTTACTCTCAATCTGAAAAATGGCAAGCTAGCAGATAAGGAAAAAATTCTACTCAATTAGGTAATCATCTTATACTGAAATGATGCACTTTAAATTTCTGAGAAAACATTTATTCTAAAACATGGTGAAAATTCAGACTACAGCCATCTGTGTTTGTTATTTGGAAGCCAATTATAAAAATGTTAACATATGTAGTCACAGAAATAGTTGCAAGATTTACTGGAAAGATATTATGTCCATATATAATTGCCTTTCAAAACTGGTTCGGATCTCAAGCAAATGTCTTACCCTGATCAGAACATGAATAAATGACTTAATACAAATAATAACTTATTCCTTAAACTCAAGATTTTTTTTTTTTGAGACGGAGTCTCACTCTGTTGCCCAGGCTGGAGTGCAGTGGCGCGATCTCAGCTCACTGCAAGCTCTGCCTCCCCAGTTCACGCCATTCTCCTGACTCAGCCTCCCGAGTAGCTGGGACTACAGGCGCCTGGCACCACACCCGGCTAATTTTTTGTATTTTTAGTGGAGATGGGGTTTCACCATGTTAGCTAGGATGGTCTCAATCTCCTGACCTCATGATCCGCCCGCCTAGGCCTCCCAAAGTGCTGGGATTACAGGCGTGAGCCACCACGCCCAGCCAAACTCAATATTTTTAACTTAACAAATGATCATTCTGAATAAAACAATGAATTTTCAAAATGCTGTATAAAATATGCCAAGTTTTGGCCAGGTGTGGTGACTCACACCTGTAATCCCTGCAGTTCGGGAGGCTGAGGCGGGTGGATCCCCTGAGGTCAGGAGATAGAGACCAGCCTGACCAACATGGTGAAACCCCGTCTCTACTAAAATACAAAAATTAGCTGGGTGTGCTGGTAGGCGCCTGTAATCCCAGCTACTCGGGATTACAGCTACTCGGGATTTTACTGAGGCAGTAAAATCACTTGAACCCGGGAGGCGGAGGTCACAGTGAGCTGAGATGGCACCACTGCACTCCAGCCTGGGCAACAGAGTGAGACTCCGTCTCAAAAAAAAAAAGCCAAGTTTTTATAATGTCAATTCAAAAAAATCAACTATTTGGAATCTCTTCAGTTTCTTGAGTGTTCATTGTTCATTATGTGCCAGGCACTGTGCTAGACATGTGTCAAAATATATGATCTTAACAGTAGGACCCTTTAGTCTACTATTATTTAATAACAGTCTCTCATTTCATCAAGTTGTGAGAAATAAATGAGATAAAAGTTAATACACAATTTCATAAACTCAGCAGTCCTATATATATTTAAGGAGGTGGTATGGGAACCTCCCTTGTCCTGATTTCTTCATATAAGTCTTTCCAAAAGAGATGTGGTTGTAGAGTTTTACCTGTGAAGAAAATAACTTGGCATATGTCAGGTAGTAAGTAGTTTATTTATTCAACAGATATTTATTGACTGCCCATCATGCATGCAACTTTGTGCTAAAGTAAGACATGTAGTGAGGAATAAAAGAGGTATAAACCCTACTCTCATGAATTGTAATACAGGTGGGAAAAACAAATTAAATATAGATAAACACAGAAATATATCATCTCAAGTGATAAAAAGTGCTTTGAAGAAAAAGGTATTAGGAGAGCCTCACACAGAAAAAATTTAATTTAAATGGGGTCGTGTGGGGAGAAGTCAGGAAATGTTGAAAGAATGTGGAAACCAAGATTTAAAGATGAATATGGGTTATCTGCCCAAGATCATAAGCAGTAAGCAGCAAAATAAAATGGAACAACAATATCTGACTCAAAATCCAACTTTCCATTATACCATTTGCTTTCCATGCATTCTCATCCTGCTTTTCATTCATCTGTCATTACACCCCAATCCTAGAACAGTAACTTAAAGAACATGAGCAAGTGATATCACCAAACAGACAAGTGCTTTTTTGACAAGACTGGAGAGAAAATAAAAACAAACACGATGAAACAAATATACTCGAGAGAATGGTACAAAATATTACTTAAATGTGTTACCTAGTTTCTCCAGTATTCAAAAATAGCAGTAAATAGAGCTGTTTTTTGTTTTTGCTGTAGAAAAGCTAAGAAATACCAATTAATTCTAATTATGATGACTATATATACTTGTCAATGCTGCCTTTAAACGTTTTTAGTATTCCTTAATGAATGATAAACATGAATGCTAATACAAACAACTACAACAAAACTCCAGTAGCCTAACTAGGGAAATAAAAAGATTATAACAGTTGTCCCAAAGACCATTTGTAAATGAAGTTGAAGTAAGGCAACTGAAAGTAAAGAAGACAAAAGCAACATTTTAAGGATGCTTTAAAGTATTCTTAAATATCACAAAGATACAAACTGTTGGAAAATAACAGTGCCAAACAGGCCTGAGGGAATCAGGAATGGAAAAGACCACAGGACTTTACATATTGAGTGACCAGTCCAGTCCTACTTATAGCCTATAATCTCATTTAATATAATTTTTTTTTAAATAAAGGTTTTGGACCACCGTCATGTCTAAAAAGAAAACAAATTCTGCAGCTTAAGGAACCATCTTAATGTTACATATTTTAACACAATTTCACTGCCTGCCACATAGTAGACACAAATGTTTGTTGGAAAATAATGTTTCAAAAAGAGTATGTGCTTTGGGAAGCTAAAGTGGAAAGATCACTTGAGGCCAGGAGTTTGAGGCCAGCCAGAACAGCATAACAAGATCCATCTCTTAAAAAAGTAAATTTTTTTTTTTTTTTAAATTAGCCAGGAGTGGTGGCCCACACCTGTGGTCCCAGCTAGTTGAAAGGCTGAGGTGGAAGGACTGCTTGAGCCCAGGAGCGAGGCTGCAGTGAGCTAGGATCACATCACCGCACTCCACTCCAGCCTGGGCAACAGAGTGAGATCCTATCTCAAAAATAGTAGTAATAATAAAATTAAAATTATTTTAAAAACCAAGGTGAATATCAGGTCCATGGTTACACTATTGCACAACTATGCAATGTAATAACATGTAGCTGTCAAAAATAATGTTTTCAAGTCAGTGTGGTGGCTCATGCCTGTAATCCTAGCACTTTGAGAGGCTGAGGTGGGCATATTGCTTAAGCCCAGGAATTCGAGACCAACCTGGGCAACATAGTGAAACCTCATCTCTACAAAAAATACAAAAATTTGCCGGGCGTGGTGGTGCAGGCCTGTGGTCCTAGCTACTTGGCAGGCTGAGGTGGGAGGGTCACTTGAGCCTGAGAGGTGGAGAATGGAGTGAGCCAAGATCATGCCACTGCATTCCAGCCTGGGTGACAGAGTGAGACCCTGTCTCAAATAATAATAATAATAATAATAATGATGTTTTCAAAAAAAAAATCTTAATGAGCAAAAATGCTCTCAACATAAACTTGGATAAAAAAGAACAAAGCTGCATATATAGAGTAAGATTTAAGTAACGTTTTACTTATGCATAGAAGAAAAAGAATAAACAACAAACTATTCAAAATCATTACTTGCAGGTTATAACACAACAGGTAATTGTTTTTCTCTTTGAAAGATCTTTACTGCCTGCCTCCCTCACACAACTCTAAAGTATATTTACTAATAAAATTATCGTGGGCCCATATGCTAATATCACTATTTTTAAAGGATATATACAACTACATACCTACTAGAAATCTTATCCCTAAAGAAAGTGCTGTTTAGATGTCACCTATCCTATCTCTGCTTCATTTTACAGTCATCTCAGTTACTGCTAACAATGAACAGTGAGAAGAACGGCACTTTACCCCTAACGTTATCTACCCTAAGTATATTATTAAGTTTAATCCCATTAAAAATAAACAACAAATAACACTGCACAGTTTATGTAAAGGAGAATGCCCAAAGCAAGGTATATTTGTAACAAATAGACACTCTCTCAACAGCATAAAATGCATGCCAGTTTACCATCTGAGGTTAACTCATTTATAAACCTACATTATACATTATTCCCTTTCATATGGATATATTTTTGCAGGAAATATTTACTAAAAAATAAAAGAACTGCTGCATCTGGTCAGCATAGTGATCCATGTTGATGGACATCAGGTATCCATCATCAGCTCCCATGGACATCTGTCAGAGATCATTTATGTGATGAAACCAGGCATGTAATAAACACATGAATATCAGTTTGCTTTTGACTTCACTCCCTCTTCTTACTCCATTCCTGAATGTAGTCACTACTCCCCAAGGACTGAAGGACCTTGGGATCATAATCTCTGCATATCTCTAAACCCTTGGCATGTGCTGTACGTCAGAACAGAAAAAAATAGCACAGGGGCAGTATTTTTTTTTCTGAAAATAGTTTTATTATGGAAACAAAATAAGGAGGGTAATTAAGCATGAAATAATTTCATTCTTGATAAAAGTATACTGATTATTACAAAATTTGAAGTGTTAGTTTATAGCCCAAATCTTTTAAAGAATTTGTGTCTGCTGAAATGAACTTTCATCATTTGCAAAGATGCAACTTTAGTTACAGGAGGAACATATTTAATCTAAATATACATTGTCATAGATAAGACTCAGAGGATAATATATATAAAGCTAACTGTACTCATCTGTGTTAAATAGCTATCCAAAGCTACTAACCTAAAATATGAAAGGGTTGTTTATGATACATTTCAAACTATAAGTCTGGAATTCTTGTTCCTTTGTGATTCCATTATTCTACTAAATACATATAGTGGTTAGAAGTCCAGTGTACCTCTTATAGAACAGCACATAGGATTAGATATGCCAAGATTAAAATGTTGCATATTTTAGGAAACTCAGAAATAATTCAAAGATGCTTTTATGCTAAACTCAGCAAATTTTGTTTCAAAATGTTTTTTATTATGAAAAACAAGTATAATGTTTGGACGTTAATGTACAGAAAATAGTTGTCATATATATTCCTTTACAATTTTCACACCTGTTTATTTAAAGTGTTAATTCTACACATTTAAAAACATAATAATGAGATCCTGTTTCAATAGGAAATTGTTAAATTTTACTTGCAACTTTTTGTAGCTATAATTCTAATACACATTGGGATCTAAAACTATTAGTAAACAGCAATAATAGAGACTACATATTTTTTTAATTGGGCAAATGAAAGGAGAATATATTGAGATGTAAATCAGGAAGTAGTTATTCGCGTTACAAAAAGTTTTTAAATATGCAGATTAATTAAAAACATATACCCTTTAAATACTAAAGCATTTAAAATAAGTTTAACAAAAAAGGCAACTTACATACTTTTCAAAACCCCATCAGTTGTATAAAGAGAGGCACTACTTTTATCCACAAAAAGCATCAAAATTTTTTAACAGTTCAAAAATAGAAGCCCAAAACAACTGATTTATCAGAAACAAAACAATACAATGGCTATTCACAGTGTAAGAAATTAAATCTATTTTTTTAGAGCACGTTTTTCAGTCTCAATTTATAACACACTTTGACTTCCATTTCTGCTTTTCCTTAAATCAATCTGGACTGTGTGGAAGAATGCCATAACATGAAGCTATTAGCAATCTGGGTTAATGTTCTACAAAAAAAAATATGCTGTCTATATACACAGAAAGTAATGAAGAAAAAAGCGCTGAAGTACAATGCATACTCCTTAGGTTCTAAAACTCTATCAGTCTAATAGAAAGCACCAAGATACAGATGCCAAAGTTAGAAAAAATACAAAGCAGCTCAGAATCAATATCATATATCTTATTCAAGGTAAATTTTATGTTAGATTGTTTGTCTGGCATTTAGGAGGCTAGAAATCCCATCTCTACTTTTTTTTTTTTTTTTTTTTTGAGACAGAGTCTCACTCTGTTGCCCAGGCTGGAGTGCAGTGGTGCAATCTCGGCCCATTGCAAGTTCTGCCCCCCGGGTCCACGCCATTCTCCTGCCTCAGCCTCCTGAGCAGCTGGGACCACAGGCGCCTGCCACCACACCCGGCTAACTTTTTGCATTTTTAGTAGAGATGGGGTTTCACCGTGCTAGCCAGGATGGTCTCGATCTCCTGACCTCGTGATCCGCCCGCCTCAGCCTCCCAAAGTGCCGGGACCACAGACGTGAGCCACCGCGCCCAGCCTCCATCTCTACTTTTAACAAAGATTTGCTTATTACTGAATTAAAGTTAATAGTGAAAATAGCATAGTAAAGACTCTTTTTTGTGTTTATTGATGAGGAAACACTACTAAAATGTTCTTATGGAAAATGAGGAAATACATAATAATTTTTTGAAAATAAAAAGTAAACTTAGAAAAAAATTCAAGGCGGTTGGGTGCAGTGGCTCACACCTGTAATCCCAGCACTTTGGGAGGCCAAGGTGGGCGATCATCTGAGGTCAGGAGTTCGAGACCAGCCTGGCCAACACGGCGAGACCCTGTTTCTACCAAAAATACAAAAATTAGCCGGGCATGGTGGCAGGTGCCTGCAATCCCAGCCACTTGGGAGGCTGAGGCAGGAGAATCACTTGAACCCGGGAGGCAGAGGTTGCAGCAAGCCAAGATCATGTCACTTAGTGGCAGTATTTACAATAGCAAAAACTGGAAACAACCCAAATACTTACTGACCTCACAATGGATACTGACGTAAATTCCTATAATGGAATACTATGCAGACGTGAACATGCTCTACATGATACTGAACAAAAGGCAAATCACTGATGACTTCATATGATACCATTAAGTTCAAGCACAGGAAAACTAGTATGTTGTATGTGTACATATATGTGGTATAGAAAAGCAAGGAAATAAACAAATTTAGAACTATAGGTACCTCAAGTGGTGAGGGGTTGGGATTAGATGAGGAAAGGTTTCAAATATATTCGTATGTGTATGCTTCTTCAGCAGGGTGATAGGTATAGAGGTGTTCTTTTTATCATCAGTCTTTATTTTATACATACATTTTACATATATTCTTTTTTAGAAGAAATATTTAAGTATTTTTAAAGTAAGTAGAACTTCCTTCTGAGGGAACTGGTCAGTGCTCATAGCTTCTCCCATCCATGACACCCCTGCCTCTCCTCCCACCCTAAGTTTGATAAGGAAAGAAAGGTCAGTCACTTAGATTCTTCTCTTAGAATTAGGGAACAAGGAGGTAAGAAGCTGTCCAGAAAGATAACACGAGGAGATTCATCTTATATAAAGGATTCTAAAATGAGTGTGTCATACAATAATCATATCAATCTACAGATACTCCTAAAATCATCTATAAAGTACAGTTTATATAATCAACCTATTAAACATGTTACAGACTATAAAACACTTCTCTTTGTATCCAACATAGTCAATTTTCCTTCTGGCATTGAATCATCCCTATTCCTTTAGTTCCACACCAAGTAAAGTAGCTGGCACAGTATTGTAGAATCAAGTAAAGTGGCTATGTTAGTGGGTCCTAAAGTCTATTGCTCACTGGGGATCTTTACAAAAAATAGTGAGGCCTGACACTGCAGATTTTCTGATTTTGGTATGGGATGTAATGTAGGCATCAAAAAATTTGTAAAGCTTCCCAGGTGTTTCCTATATGCAGCAAAATTTGGGAGCCTCTAGGCTAGATGATTACTCTATGAGTAGATGTGTTTCTATGATTTATATAATTTTTATTTTCCCCTTCTTTCTTTTTAAAGTATATTTACTGGGGCTGGGCACAGTGGCTTGCGCCCATAACCCCAGCACTTCAGGAGGCTGAGGTGGGAGGATCACTTGAGTCCAGGACCAACCTACGCAACATAGTGAGACCCTGCCTCTATAAAAAATAATTGGGCATGGTGGTGTGTACCTGTAGTCCCAGTTACTTGGGAGGCTGAGATGGGAGGATTACTTGAACCCAGGAGGTTGAGGCTGCAGTGAGTAATGATCATGCCACTGCACTCCAGCCTAAGTGACAGAGTGAGACCCTGTCTCAAAATAAATAAATAAGGGTATATTTAGTAGGAAACAATTCCATTGGATAGAACAGATTTGGAGACTCATCCCATAATTTTGGTCATGTGCAAACTGACATGCAGGCAAGGAAGCTGATCTACAAACAGAGGAGTATAACATATTGTGAAAGTGAGAGAAAAAATGATGGAGAGAATGGCACCAGTTTCCAATGGCTTTTCAGTTTCCATGAGACCCAGCTATACACTGACCTTCCTCTGAAATCTCCACATCTTTACAATAACCCTCTCTTTTCTCTCCTTCGCTTAACGAGTTTTGTTTTGTTTTGGAACAAAAGAGTCCTACTAGAATTAGACTGCTTACACTTGGCTATTTTAATCAAGTAAATATTTTATGTTAAAAAAGAAACACATAATGGTTTTTACTACTTCATTTGTACAACATAACATATAACTGCCACCTGGTGGCAGCATACCTATCTTAAGATGAGATTTTTGTGTGTGGTGGGGGGCGGGGGGTAAAGAAATAACATTAGAAGTTATCAATGACAGACATTCTTTAACAGTTTTCCACTACTGTTAGGATAACATCCACACCATTTTAAATGTCATATGTGGCTCCTCATTATCTGATCCCTAGTTCTCCAATCCCATTTTCTGCTATATAGCTTAATCCTCTATGCTCCAGAATGACGATAATGATGATAATGACTGACACTTCTTGAACACTTCTTATAGACTGACAGTGTTCTAAATGTTTTAGACTTATTAGTGAATCCTCACAACAACCGCAAGTACCAAGGCAGGTACTATTATTGTTCTCATTTTCCAGAGGAGGAACAGAGCAACAGAGAGGTTAAGTAAATTCCTGATGCCAAAAAACTAGTAAATGGCAGTCAGGATTTGAGCCTAGACGGTCTGGTCCAGTCCAACCTCATAACCACTACAATTATCAATTCAAAATCTTTGAAAAATTCCATTTAGATGTATAATAAAGAACTTCTAATTAAAAAATGTACAAAACTGATTTCACAATCTTGCCTAGGTCAACAACTGAAACCTTGACCACATTTTTCTTAGTAGTAACAGAAACCTCCTCTCCATGCTCACTATCCTTTACCTTTCAGATCCAGCCAGTCACCAAGTTCTGCTGATTTTACCTTCTAAATATTTACTGATGTATCCCCTCTGTTCCTGCCTCACTGTCTGTCATTTGTACTTTCAACAGCCTCGTAAATGGTTTTATCCTCCTCAACCTATCCTCCACACAGCTGTCAAATACATCTATCTAAAATGCAAATCTAGCTAACCATATTATTCCCCAGCTTAAACACTCATCAATAAGCCAGGTGGGGTGGCTCATGCCTGTAGTCCTCAGTCAGGAGGCTGAGGCAGGAGGACTGCTTGAGCCTGGGAGTTCAAGGCTGCAATGACCTATGATCACGCCACTGCACTGCAGCCTGGGTGAAAGAGTGAGACTCTGCCTCTAAAAAATATATAAAACACAAAAATACCCCTCATTAATAGATCCCCACAATCTACAGGATATAATCCAATCTCCTTAACATAGATTCAAGGATTTTCAAGATGGAGCCCTAGCCTATAGTCTCATTTCTTGCCACATCTTGCTAATAGCTTTATACTCCAATAATACCAAACAAGGTAGGTAATACAATACCTTCCCCAAAACAAGTCAAACGATTCCACATCTCTGTGCTTTTTCCATTTTGTCTCATTCTTCTGGAAGCTTCTACTCACCTTCCACTCCCTTCTCACCTGGGCAGTTCCTCCCCATCCTTTAAGGCTTCATTCAGTGTTTATCCATCCAGAAAGCCTTCCCTAACTGCCAAGATAGAATCAGATATCCCTCTTCTGTGTTTTTCATGGACCCAGAATTATATTACCCATTGTGTATTTATAATTATCTCTTTATGTGTCTGCCTACTAACTAAATAATGCTTATGCTTGGCAGAGTCCATGTCTCTCATATCCTATCATCTTAGCAAAGTGCCTAGCAAGTAGTAAGTGTTCAATCATATTTACTGAATGAGTAAATAAATAGCTCCCTGTAGATCACTCTGAATACTTAACTTATTGTATCGTGATTGACTTTCTACTCGAATGTGAAAGTATCAGAGGCAAGCTTGTGACTATCTCTGAATTCCCACTGACTTGCATAAAGTAGAGGCTCGAGTAAATACTAAGTTATCTAGGATTTGATCTGAAAGACTGAAAAGAATGGAGTAGAGGATTAACAAAATGAAAAGGGTGTTTTAAGATGAACCCAGTGACAATATATAGGATGAACCAGAGAAGATGAATAGAGGCAAGGGAACTAGACAGATGAGGGGATGTGGGCCTGATTTTATTGGACTGCAATATTAGAATAGAAAGAAAAAGGTTAAGTGGGAGACAAATTTTTTTATTTTTATTTTTTATTTTTATTTTTTGAGACGGAGTCTCACTCTGTTGCCCAGGCTGGAGTGCAGTGGCATGATCTTGGCTCACTGCAAGCGTGTGAGACAAATTTTTAATTTAAAAAGTAGGATGTGGTTATGAGTATATAGAATAAAGGAAAATAATCACAGAATAATTCAAAGGATCTTTCAATCAAGATGCTTTCTGAATATATTAATAGGTATGAACTAAACTACTGAGCCTAGAAAATATGATGATACATGAGACAGAAAAGAGAAAATTGGCTGGGCGTGGTGGCTCACACCTATAATCCCAGCACACTGGGAGGCCAAGGTGGGAGAACCGCTTGAGCCCAGGAGTTCAAGACCAGCCTGGGCAACATGGCAAAACCCTGTCTCTACAAAAAATTTAAAAATTAGCCAGGCATGGTGGTGAGCCCCCGCAGCCCCAGCTACTCGGGAGCCTGAAGTGAGAGGATCAATTGAATTCAGGAGGTCGAGGTTGCAATGAGCCGTGATCATGCCACCACACTCCAGCTGGGGCAACAGAGTGAGATCCTGTCTCAAAAAATGAAAGAAAAGAAAAAAAAGAGAAATAAAAGAAAATAGAGAGAAAGAGAGTGAGATAGAGAAAGAAAGAAGAGAAAGCTTAGAACATTAAAAAAATTTAAGTACAAATCCTAGAGAAAAAGTAGACAGACTCTCCTGCCATACAATTAAAATTCTGAGGCTTATTAAAATTGCCTACCTTATTTCACCCTTTGAATTTATTAAAAAATTACGCATTCTTCTCAACTAAAAAAAAAACCTCAAATTATCTTTTCTTTTTCTCAAACTTTATTATAAAAATTACTAATGGTTGTTTAAAGTGGAAAAGTGAGAGTTCTCTTGTTGAGTCATTAGAAATGCTCAGATATGAATTTTCATTGTGAAATGAATTTATACAAATTAAAATTAAATATTATTTTGGCAAATATAAAAAATTTCACACCAAAAGAATTTCCAGTATTTTTAAGTTGTATATGAATAGAAAAGAGTTTCTGTAACTTTCAGCCAAAACTCATTATTTCATATATAAACTCCTAGTAGATATTTCCTAATGCAGTTTTAACATATTTTCTAATATCTTGCCATTTAGAAGAAGATCTACTAATTTATTTGGCTCTCAAGAAATGGAGTAGAGGATATAAACGGCGTAAGAATTAACTGAGATCTCTGCCCCATGCCCACTGCAATCCCCACAAGGTCTCCACACACAAAATTTGATTCATGATACATATGGAGAACTACTATTTTAGTTATAATTGATCCCTGTCACTATCTTCTCTGGGGAAACAACTAATAAGGCAATACTAACTTGAATAAAAGTGAGACCCTAGCCTGGACGTTGTGGCTCACGCCTGTAATCCCAGCACTTTGGGAGGCCGAGGCAGGCGGATCATGAGGTCAGGAGATTGAGACCATACTGGCTAACACAGTGAAACCCCGTCTCTACTAAAAATACAGAAAAATTAGCCGGGCTTGGCAGCGTGCACCTGTGGTCCCAGCTGCTGGGGAGGCTGAGGCAGGAGAATGGCGTGAACCCGGGAGGCAGAGCTTGCACTGAGCCGAGATAGTGCCACTGCACTCCAGCCTGGGTGACAGAGCAAGACTCTGTCTCAAAAAAAAAAAAAAAAAAAAGTGAGACCCTGGAGGAATAAATACAGCCTAACCACAGAGCCCACAATGAGCAATCCTAGTAAACAACAAGGAATTTTATAGTGTGTTCAGTACTAATAGGAGAGAGAGCCTAGATTTTATACCCTATTAGTTTTTCAGAGATCTGTAAATCAGAGAACCTATGAAATCAATCTTTACAGATTAGGACTTTGTATAGTAAAGTTGATTATAGTTCTGAATCATCAAAACAATAATCTTGGGGGCTTTAAGAAATTATTTCTTAAAAGGGGGAAAAACTCTTAGACTTTTACAGAGAAACTTTCACACCACACAAAAATCTCAGAGAACAGTAAACCACAATAAGAATCTTAACTCTGATGGTAACTGAAAACAAACACTACATTGTTAGTGAACAAGGAGGAAAAAGGAATTTTACATATTACAAAAGAATCTATAAATTTAAACAAAGAACCTAAGCAAAACTACTCCTGAAATAATGTTAAATTTTTGAATACTCTGAATATTGAACACTTTTGAATACTGTTAAACCCATGCAAAAATCAACCAAAGCTTTATGCAATGTACCTAGAAGGGCACTAAGTGTTGTAAGTTACAGTTTGGTGATGACTAAGACAAAAAATAAAAGGGGTGTCAATATGACAACAAAGACATCTCATACTAGTGAAGTAGCTACAGATCCCCCATGTTTAAAATGACAGGTCTTTTCATTTTTGAACACTAAGTTACTTTTTTCTCACAGTGTAAATGGACTGGCAATGATCAAGCCAAAAATCCAACAGGTGCCCCTTTAACCAACTGCATGCACTTGTAAAACAGCTGCTCATGGAATGGAATGACTCACTGGCCAACAAAGAAATCAAGCTTCAGCATCATGCTGTTATCAACTCACCAAGAACCTATCACTCAAAGGAAGCAACAATTTAAATTTTGGCAAAGCCCAAAAAGCCTAAAAATATATATATATGGAAGATAATCCCACTGGGGATACGTATTTCTACCCATTCCTCTCTGGTGCTTGAGTGCACACGTTCTCTCTCTCTCCACACATACGGAAAGGATATATATATATTTTATATACATATATAATTAATATTAGATAAAAGAAGTTGGTAACAACCCAATTAAAAAATGGGCAAGGGATATTAATAGACATTTCTCTAAAGAAGATCTACAAATGGGCTAGGCGCAGTGGCTCAGGCCTGTAATCCCAGCACTTTGGGAGGCCGAGGTGGGCAGATCACCTGAGGTCAGGAGTTCAAGACCAGCCTGGCCAACATGGTGAAATCCCATTTCTGCTAAAAATACAAAAAAATTAATCGGGCATGGTGGTGGATGCCTGTAATCACAGCTACTGGGGAGGCTGAGGCGGGCAGATCACCTGAGGTCAGGAGTTCAAGACCAGCCTGGCCAACATGGTGAAACCCCATCTCTGCTAAAAATACAAAAAAATTAATCGGGCATGGTGGTGGATGCCTGTAATCCCATCTACTAGGGAGGCTGAGGCAGGAGAATCACTTGAACCCAGGAGGTGGAGGTTGCAGTGAGCTGAGGTTGCGCCATTGCACTCAAGCCTGGGAGACAAGAGCAAAACTCCATCTCAAAAAAAAAAAAAAAAAAAAAAAGAAATCTACAAGTGGCCAAAAAGTGCATTAAAAGATGATACTCAATATCATTATTCATTAGGAAAATACAAACCAAAACCACAATTAGAAACCACTTAATACCCACAAGGATGAGTATTAAAAAAACAAAAAAACAAAACAAACAAACAAAAAAAACAGAAAACACAACTGTTAATGAGGTTATGGGAAAATTGGAATGTCCTATACATTGCTGATGGGAAGGTAAAATGGTACAGTCACTATGGAAACAGTTTGGCAGTTCCTCAAAAAGTTGAAATATAACTACCATATGACCTTGCTCAGTTCTACTACTAGGTATATACCCAAGAGAAATGAAAACAGGTACTCAAATACATCCATACAAATGTTCACAGCAGCACTATTCACAATAGCCAAAAGACAGAAACAACCCAAATGCCTATCATTGGACAAATTATGGTATATACATACAATGGAATATTATTCAGCCATAAAAAGGAATGAAGTACTGATATATGCAGCAAAATGGATGAACCTTGAAAACATACTAAGTGAAAGAAGCCAGACACAAAGGGTCACATATTATATGATTCCTTTCATATTAAATATCTACAACTGGTAAATCCAGAGAGTGCGTTGGTGATTGTTAGTGGCTAGAGGGAAGAAGCAATGAAGAATATCTGCTTAATGGGCACAGGGTTATATTTTGAGATGGAAAGATGTTTGGGAAGTAGACAGAAGCAGTAGTTGCATAAGATTGTGTTAAGCCACTGTGTTAAGTTCACTTAAAGATGGTTAATTTTGCTTATGAATTTCACCTCAATTAAAAAAAATTATAGCTTCTTTATATCTAGCACCTAGAGAACTCAAAAAGCTCCCAACCATTATTTCATTTATCCTTCAAAACACCTGTTGAGGTACACATCATAAGATTATTCCAACAGACAATAAGGCACAGAATTTGTGATCATTTAAATAAATGTTTGCGGCCGGGCGCGGTTGCTCACGCCTGTAATCCCAGCACTTTGGGAGGCCAAGGTGGACGGATCACAAGGTCAGGAGTTTGAGACCAGCCTGGCCAATATGGTGAAACCCTGTCTCTACTAAAAATAAAAACCTAGCCGGGTGTGGTGGTGGGCGCCTGTAGTCCCAGCTACTCGGGAGGCTGAGGCAGGAGAATAGCTAGAACCCAGGAGGTGGAGGTTGCAGTGAGCCGAGATCGTGCCACTGCACTCCAGCCTGGGTGACAGAGTGAGACTCCATCTCGGGGGGAAAAAAAAATGCTTGCTAAGTAAAAGTTCATAGCTGCAGTCGTAGGCATTCAAAAATGTTGGTTGAACAAATGAACACATAAATGTCTCCAAAGTCCTAGTGCCATTTCTACCAGACCAGATAGCAGTATTATAAATTCTCTTTCTCCCTCTCTCCAGCACACACACACACACACACACGCACACACACACACACACCCCAGACACCAAACCACTTTTATAAATAAGTTTTGAAAAATTCCGTAGCTTTTCCAAATTATAGTTTTTAAATGGATGTTAAGCAATTACATAAAGTGACTAATCTTAATTTTAGTGGAATCTTACTAAGAAATGAATATAAATAATGTCCCTTATTGTTTAGCAATTTACCATAACCTTTTCTAGCTATATTAGAAGAAATTCATTTACATTTCAATATTCAGTAGCCTATAATAGATATTTTGTAGACATAGTTTAGCTTTTACTATGAACCTTTTTATTTATAAAATAAGAGATGTTTTTGTTTGAAAAAATTTTTGTTCCATTCTTGTCATATTTCAATCACTTGGATGTATCCTACCTTTTTCACTTCCTCTTTCCATGAGCTATCATTCAACTTTCAGTTTCACTGACAGGGCATCACGTTCCTTCCTCCACATTCTCTCTCTAAACACCATGTTTTGCTTCATTCCGACAAAGCCTAAGCTGGGTGCAGTGGGTCACCCCTATAATCTCGGCACTTTGGGAGGTTAAGGCAGGAGGATTGCTTGAGCCCAGGAGTTCAAGACCAGCCTGGGCAACATGGTGAAATCCCATCTCTACAAAAAAATTTTAACAATTAGCCAGGTGTGGTGGTGCACATCTGTAGTCCCAGGTGCTCAGGAGGTTGAGGCAGGAGGATCACTTGAGCTCAGGAGGTCAAGGCAGGCTGCCACTCCAGCCTGGACAACACAGCGAGATCTCGTCTCAAAAAAAAAAAAAGCCTGAAGGTTATGAATTAGTTTTAAGTCACAGGCACTGCACTATTGCTGCAATAAATGTTGATGAAGCTATCAAACTGCTGCATCTACTCGGAATGCTAAGTAAGCTCTGCCACATCTAAGTATGAAAAACTAGAATGCTTAAAACAGGAAGGGAAAACACTTTCTTAGCTGTGGAACAAAGTATCTGAAATATGCAAAGAACAGTTTTACACCATAACCAGCTTTGTCTATCACAGTGGAAACAGTAACTGAAAAGTCCTGCTATCAATAATCAATATACAGCTTGCATGGAGCACCATCCTTTTTTTTGTACACAATTGGAACTACTCTTCACACTGAAAATGTTTGTTAAACAAAAGTCATGTAATTACAAATTACTGAATATAATAGACAGTAGTTTTTTATAATTATTCAGCAAATAATGCCCATTATATAAAATACTGAATAACTTTAAAAAGTATACCTAATGCAAATTTACATGAGTAATAATTTTATATTAAATATACAACTGTCCTCTATTTAATTCTGTTCACTTAAATTACAATACTTCCTTTACGTGCCATGAATAATTATACTTGGAAAAAAATGAAGTCATTTAAAATGGAGTTAAAATAGTTTGGTTCAACACAAGGACAACCTATGTAGTGCCATCCTCGTCAAAACACTGCAGAGGGAGCTAGCCCAGCTCTGAAAATATTTACTTAATACATAATGCAGTAATGTCTCACATCTCCCAGGGTCATGCTTCTTGCAACATCAATACTGAGGAAATAGCTGAGGACCCAACAGTAAACCAAAACAACCAACAAGCAGCAGAAAAACTAAACTGCCCTAAAGCCCACTGGGCAGGCTACACTGGCCTCTGTTTTTGTTTTGTTTTGTTTTTTGAGACAGAGTCTTGCTCTGTCACCCAGGCTGGAGTACAGTGGCACAACCTCGGTTCACTGCAACCTCCACCTCCTGGGTTCAAGTGATTCTCCTGCCTCCACCTCCCCAGTAGCTGGGATTAGTACCTGCCACCACGCCTGGCTAATTTTTTTGTATTTTTTAGTAGAGACGGGGTTTTGCCATGTTGGCCAGGCTGGTCTCAAACTCCTGACCTCAGATGATCCACCCACCTCAACCTCCTAAAGTGCTTGGATTACAGGTGTGAGCCACTGCGCCCCACCTGTTTTGTTTTTTATACTTTTTTCTTTTTAGAGATGGGGTCTCACTACATTGCCCAGGCTGATCTAGAACCTCTGGGCTCAAGCGATCCTCCCACCTCAGCCTCCCAGTGTTGGGATTACAGGAGTGAGCCATCACACCCCGCCTAAGGTCTTTGTTGTTGTTGTTTTTTCTTTTTACATAGTATTCTGTCAACCTCAGTTCTGGGTTCCTTAGTCGTAGCAAATCTAAAACAGCAAATTAGGAAAAGAGGCAGATGAGGAGTAAGAGCATGCCCATAGCAATACGAACTAACAGCAAGGAAAGAATAAGCACAACAAAAACAGAAAGGAAATCTATAAAATGTCTAACAATATAATCCCAACTATATTATACACTCTGCACTGAAATAGCAATTACAATTCCAGGCCTACGCTAAAATAGGAAACCTAGTTATTCTGTGCCTCATTTTCCTGTTCTGGATAATGGTCATACACTATAACATGTGTTTAATATAATGTATTTGATAAGCCTTTATGTTTTTTAAAAAATGGCATTTGAGGCTGAGTGCAGTGGCTCATGCCTGTAATCCCAGCACTTTGGGAGGTCGAGGCAGGCAGATCACTTAACGGCAGGAGTTCGAGACCAGCCTGGCCAACATGGTGAAACCCCATCTCTACTAAAAATACAAAAATTAGCCAGGCGTGGTGGTAAATGCCTGTAATCCCAGCTACTTGGGAGGCTGAGGCAGGAGAATCGCTTGAACCTGGGAGGTGGAGGCTGCAGTGAGCCAAGATCCTGCCACTGCACTCCAGCCTGGGAGACAGGCTGTCTCAAAAAAAAAAAAAATGGCATTTGAATATTCTTTTCTGGTCATAAAAGAGATACATTGTATCAAGAATTTGGAAAATACTAAAAGTATAAAGAAAATTAAAATTGCCTATAAGCCACCACCCAGAGATAGCCACGATTTACATCTTGGTGCTTTTTTTCAGGTGTCTTCATATTTAAATATGTACATATACCTTTTCCTGGTAACTTTTTTCTTTTTAACCTGGCATTATTTGTGGGCATTTTCCACACTCAAAAAGTCTTTGTAGAATTATTTTACATATCATAATTTATTAACCCATTATTACAGATTTGGGGTAGTATAAAACATTTTATACAGTATACTATATATTATACTGCATACATGACAAACTGTTTAAAAAGTGATCATTTATAAGGTTTAGATACAGAAAGGGAATTTTCCAATGGAACTGTTTATCAATAAATTACCCCCAAAAAGATTTGTAAGTTGTGGTTTGCAAAACTAGATTATCAAATACAATACTTAAGTCCAGTGAACAAATGAGACATTTGCAGAATGAAGTCTCAGATAAACTTTGGAAAATGATCATTTAAAGTTGTTTCTGATGCCAGCAATATGGATTTCACATTAAGAGAATTCTAGATTAATGTTATTAAATTACAACCGTGCTAGGAAAGTAACACTTATTAATGACTCATTAATCATTCTGTTCATTCATTAAGCAAATATGTATGAATAACTATTTGAAAGGCATTATATTATGGTGCATTAATATCAATAGTAAAGCTTTCTTAGTAATTCTATAAAATGACATAGTAGTATTTAAAACACTTTAACAAAACGTGGAAGAATATCCCCCAAATCCTACTGCAGCTCATCCCTCTTTGTACTTATCACCCAGAGTCTGTCTCTCCCACTAAACAGTGAGCAACTTGAGAGCAGACACTGTCACCACCTCTAGGTATAAAATAGGGATTCAATATACGTTTGCTGAATAAAATTATAATCCAGAGTTTTTCAGTTCTAATCTGAAAGCACACGTTTATACAAATGAAATAATGTACATACTATTTTTGATAATGCCCTTTTCACACTATTTTTCATATTCCTATCAGTCTTCATAATCTTAATGGCTTTAAAATATTCCATCATATTTATATAACTTAGAAAATGATTCCCTTCGTGTTGTCTTTAAAAGTTATTTCCAGGGGTTTTTTTTTGTTTGTTTGTTTTCTGAAACAGGATCTCATTCTGTTGCCCAGGCTGGAGTGCAGTAGCATGATGATAGCTCACTGCAGCCTCGAACTCCTGGGCTCAAGTGATCCTCCCACCTCAGACTCCTGAGTAGCTAGGACTACATACAGGCGCACACCACCATGCCCTGCTATTTTTTTTTTTTATTTAATTTTTTGTAGAGTCTCACTATGTTGCCCAGGTTGGTCTTGAACTCCTGGTGTCAAGCAATCCTCTCGCCCCAGGCTCCCAATGTCAGCATTTTTATATTGTATAGCTAATGTTGCAGCAAACACACCTTGCCTTACAAGTCTCATAGATTTATATCTTACTGGAAAAAGGGCTAAATTCTAAAAGAAGATAATCTTTTACAACAAAAATTCACCTTAAACAGGTTTTTACCCCATACATAGAATTCTGAAAGATAAAGAAACACACAAAGAAACTAGAATTGTATTTTGCCACATCAACTACAACTGCAAGCAATTTAAATAAATCCTCTATTATGAAATGTGTATGTCCAAAGTAAACCATGTTTTGTAGGACTGCTTCACATATATTCAGGAAAGACATTTCTGGGGGCAGGCAATAAAAATTGTGAGGTAACAGACAAGTAAGACATCTAATCAGATCTTCAATGCTTTTGGAGGGGCACACACTTCACCTCCACTACTTCCGTAGATGCATAGAGCTTGCTCAGCCCCTCAGATTGCACAAGTGTAGGCTTTGGACTTCTAAAGATACCCTGATTCCCCTTTCCCACCATTTATAGATTCGAAAGTAAAAATTTACCTGGCTATATACAAGCATTTAAACCTTGATCTTAAATAGAGGGAGCTTATAGGAAAGTCAACTATATTTTAGAAATATGAAGCTAGTTTTTATATATATATTCATTTAACAAACTTGTGTTGAGCTTCTATCACTGCATCTCTGCGGTATGGCCCTTCATTGATAATAAATCACTAACCTGGTTTCCTTTGTTTATGTGAGGAGAAGAGAAAGGAAGAGAGGAAAAACAGTTACCTGTAATACAATTTTTGTCCAAGTATGACTGCTAACAATTATCTCTAAAAATAATATAATCCATAAAAGAAGACTTCATTGAAGGGAGGAAGGGGGCTTTTGAGCCCAGACAAAATATATGCTCAAATATGTAATTTTTAAAAGAAATATGCTACGCAGCTTATATTCTGTATATGTTAAATTTCTCATGAAGCCCAATGAACGATGCCTGTGTATAATTGTGTATTGTATTGTTTGCTTTACAGGCTTTTCCATAACCGTTCACACACACACACACACACACACACACACAACCAGGATTCGCCAGAGAGATATATAACAACTAAATTATTTAAAGCAGGAATTCTATAGGTGTTGGCATATGGAACCTTTCGGTCCTCAGAAGTTCCATTCACAGACTGCATTAACATTCCATAGGACACAAAAGCGCATGCCATGACAAAGACCTTCAAGTACAAACATACAAAGACACGCTTCTAAAAACGCCCCTAAAGCCAAGTTCACAGCTGGCACTTGTGGCACACACAAGCCACTGCTGAGACAGCTGTCACAGGCCAATCACACACACCCAAGAGTGCCAGCGTGCTACCTAAGGAAGACAAGCTGATGATCAGCGCACAAATCCCCAACCCAATAAAGAAAAGCCCTAAATCCCCACCCTGGAAAGCACAATGCCTGCACCACCCAGAAAACTCCTTAAAAAAATGAAAGATCGGAGGTTTAGAAGCAACTAAACACTAGTTTACAGCAATACAGTAAAAGGGGAGTTTTATTTGGACATTCACGAGAAAGGAGCCACAATATTCAATCCTCGCGGAAGTATTATCAGCTAGCACAAGGCTTTGTCCCCCAACTGGAAAAAGGGGAAAGGAGGAGGGCGAGGAGAGATGCAGACCCTAAGACCCTGCAGCACCTCCCTCTCGGGCAGTGCACTGGGGCTGCGGCGAACTCCGCTTCCCAGGCCCCCTCCCACCCCGTGCTAGCCACCGCCTCCCACCGCAGGCCCGGTTGCCTCGGGCTCTCCTACCTTGGCTTTGCCGGCCTCCAGCTTCTTCTGTCTCTCCTCGTCCTCCATGGCCTCTGCAAGGAAGGCAGGGGAAAACAGGGGTTGAGGGGTGGTTGGGGATAGAAAGGAAAGGTCGATTTGGACGGAGGTGGGACGGCAAGCTCCACGGCCTAGAGAGCCGATTCGGTCCGGCGCTCCCCCGCCCGAAGTGGAAGCAGTCTCCGCGCTCACTGGCGGATCGTCCTCAGCCGCACGGGAAGCGCCGTCACCGCCGCCGCCGCCGCCATCTTCGTCTCCACGTAAACACACGGCGAGGCGGGAGGGGCTGGAACGTCTGTCCGCGCAGCCGCCTCGTGGGCAGGTGCTCCTGGGGTGCCGCCCCGGCCCAGCCCTCCGGGGTCAACCCTTGCCAGGCCTGGGACCTGCCTCCTACCAGCGAGGATCCCGCCGTAGAGAGCGCCCTTCCCGCACATCAACGGCTCACAGGTGGCGGCCGAGCTGAGGGGTAGGAGAGACGGAGTGTGCCAGAGGCTCCTGGCCTGACCCCCACCCTCCGTCCGAGGAATCCACTGCTATTAAAACATGAGTTTTTTTTTTCCTTCAGGTTACAAAACTAACACACCTAATGGTGAAATTGGCGAACACCTACAAGCTCCAACGGAAAAGTTCCGGTGGGGGGTGGTGGGGGGGCGGACGCCAGGTTTTCTACCTACATTAACTGCTTGACTCAAGAATTATGAGAGCAGCTAATTGCTCTTATTACTTCCTTAGCCTGAAAAGTCCCTCCCTCTTCCCTCCACTGGTTCCCACTCAATCTCCGGTTCATCCTTATAGTCCCATCGCACACGCTGCCTCCAAATGGCTTTTCTGACCTCTTGTTCCCTCCACGGCAACCGAGACACATCCAGTCAAAACTTAGTCCCCTCCCCCGACTCTTTGGGGCTTCCCTTTAACAGTAGTGTTCTGAAAGGAGCCTGAGCTTTAGAACCTCGGTTAGGGACAATGCCAGACTACACTAACTTTCTAGCGTTAATGACAAGTTACCTATCCTCCCTGAGCCTACCTGGAATTTTTGGAAGGGTTGTTAATATATGTGACTGCCCTGACATATTAAAACGTCCTGAATAATGTCAGCTTTATTTCTCCTTGGACTTCCTTTAAGTACCCTGCACCATATTTTAATAATTTGTGTGCGTCTTAGTTCAGCTCATACTCCCAGCTCCTTGATGACAGAGACTCATCATAAGTCTTGCTCATCTTGGCTTTACTAAAATGACCAGCACAGAGCTCTGCACTCAATAAACGCTTTTTGGATTGAATTGAGCAGTGTTTATAAATTTAACATTACTATCTTTCCTTGTTTCCCCGACATGTGCTCCCTCAGTCCTTTGTGTTCGTCTCCCTGCCCTCCAATGCTCACATCCATTCCTGGAGTGAACTACACATTTTAATGTCTCTGGTTGATTACTCAGATTTATCATGTTTCTCCGTTGCTTTGAGCTAGGTTGGACTGAAAAACTAGCAGTTGTGAACAAAAAATAGGCTAAAATGAGTTCAAGCGTAGAAGTGGTGTTAAGTGAAAAATTGAGGTTAAAAAACAAAAAAGGAGATAATAAAGACCTTAAGTCTACCACAAACTGAAGATGAGTTTTAAATAGCCCTCATTTAGAAATCTTAGCTTTAAAAAAGATTTTTTTCTTAAGCTCCGTAATGCATACATTCTGCCAACTTCTAACAGCCAAGTGCATATTGTCCTGTTATCTCAACCTGAATTAGGAACCAGGTAAAATTAGACATTTTATCATAGGGATGAAAGAATTGAGGCAATAAGTGATTTACTTAGTCACCCATCAAATTAAGAGTAAGGACTAGAACTAAGTGTTCTAATAGTGCAGTGATTTAAATACTGCCTGGATTGAGGGATTATGAGTGTAGATGCTGATTGCCTAGGAGGGGGAAGCCCCAGGGTATCCAAAGCTATTCCTGTTTGTTAAAGGATACTGCTTTCTCGGTGACTAAATAAGTCAGCTGTTTGTAGGTGCTGAGAATGTTCAAGAATACCTTCCAAAGCAACAAGATTATTTCAATGTTTCCTTCACTGATAGCAGCCAATCATATACATGTCTAGTTTACATAATGGGTGCTCAATCAATGTTGAAAGTTAGATTTGTGTTAACTTCTATTAGAAGAGCAAGCATTGGGCACTAGTGTTCTGACTCTTCCTTATGGCACCTATTCTGTCATAACTTGTCATACCAATCATTAATTCATGTCATGTCATTCACTTACTCAGGTGATTCTTTCAGAAGATATTTCAGCAAAGACTTGAAAGAGATGAGGAGGCTGGGCGGGGTGGTGCACGCCTGTAATCCCAGCACTTTGGGAGGCTGAGCGGGGTGGATCGCTTAAGCTCAGGAGTTCGAAACCAGCCTGGGCAACATGACGAAACCCTGTCTCTACAAAATAAATAAATAAATAAATAAAAATAAAATACTGGGTGTGGTGGCGGGAGCCTGTAGTCCTAGCTACTCCAGAGCCTGAGGCGGGAGGATCACTTGAGGCCGGGAGGCCAAAGCAGTGAGCCCAGATTGTGCCACTGCACTCTAGAGTAAGGACCTAGACAACAGGTGACACTGTCCCAAAAAACAAGCAGGTGGTGGGTGGGGGTAGAGAGCCACGGAGATAGTTGAGGGTACAGCAAATCCAAAGAAAGGCCCTCAAGCGAGACCATGATGGACCTTCTCAAGGAAGAGTAGGAGGTGAGGGTGGCTAGAGTGGAATAAACAAGGGAAATAGTAGGAGATGAAGTCAGAAAAGTAACAGGGGGCCAGATCCTGTAGAGTTCTTTTCTTTCTTTCTTTCTTTCTTTTTTAAACGGAGCCTCACTGTGTCACCCAGGCTGAATGCAGTGGCCCAATCTTGGCTCACTGCAACCTCCCGGGCTCAAGCAATCCTCCCACGTCAGCCTCCTGAGTAGCTGGGGCCACAGGCGCACTCTGCCATAGCCAGCTTATTTTTGTATTTTTTGTAGAGGCAGGGTTTCACCATGTTGCCCAGGCTGGTCTGAAACTCCTGAGCTCAAGCAATCCGCCCGCCTCAGCCTCCCAAAGTGCTGGGGTTACAGGTGATCCACCATGCCCGGCTTCAGATCCTGTAGAGTTCTAAAGGTCATTGTAAGGACTTCAGCTTTTACTCTGGGTAAGATTAGGAGCCATTGGAGAATTTTGAGCAGATGAATGACATGATTTGGCTTATGTTGTTCACGGACATTTGGCTGCTATGAGGAGAAAGGGGGATCAGTTTGGATGTTATTTCAGTAATCCCAGATAATGGGAATTTGGGCCATAGTACTGTAGTGGAGGAAAAGATATGGAATCAGATTCTGGATATCTTTTGAACATAGAACCAATAGTATCATAGGAGTTGTATATTGGATATGAGGTTTGAGACAAAAAGAAAAGTCAAGGTTGACTCCAACATTTTTGGCTTGAGCAACTGAAGTGATGAAGTTGCCAGTAACCAAAATGGAGAAGAGAAAATCTGGGGACCAAGTGTTCAGTTTTGGACATGGTAATTTAGACATACACATTAGGCATCCAAGAACTGATGTCACCCTAAGACATCAGTTAGTCTGGATTCAGGAGACAGGTCCAAGCTAGAAATAGAAATGTGAGAGTAGTCAGTATTCAGGATGTAGATGGTATTTTAAGTTAAGGAATTGGATGAGATAATCTAGGGCCATGCTATTCAATACAACAGCTATTAGCTAGTCTGAATTGAGATGTGCTGTAAGTGTAACACTTTGGATTTGGAAGACTTAATATTAAAATAAAATAACAAAATATTGCACTATTTTTATATTATTAAAATGATTATATTTGGGACCTATTGGGTTTAATAAAATATATATTAATTTCACCAGTTTCTTTTTTTTTTAAATGAAGTTACTACAAAGTTTCAAATTACATATGTGGCTTGCATTTGTGGCTCACATTATTTTTCTATTGGACCATGCTGCTTTAAGGAGCAAGTTTAGATAGAAAGGTGTTACAAAGACTGAGTTTTGGAATACTTCAACTCTAAGAGGGAGGCAAGGTGAGCAGAATCTGCAAATGAGACTGAGAACAGTGGCTAGATATGTGAAAGGAATCAGTAGCCAAGCGAAGAAAGTGAAGGAGGAGGGAGTGATGAACCAAGACAACTGCTACTAATAGGTCACGTAAAATGAGGATTGGATATAGCAAGGTGAAGGTCACTGGAGGCTTCCATAGAAGGCACTGTAAATCAATCATTAATTATTTCCAAATGAGTGCAAGCACTGCTTCAGTATCCTTCTCAATAAAGAGCCTCTGGCAGTCATGTCCAATGGACCAGAATTGAAAAGGGAAATAAAATCTAATTGGTCTCCTCTATTGGGGTTACATTCTAGTGATTCTGTTTATAACATCTGTAAAATTCATGATTTAATTAAGCTACATTTCTTTTAGTGTTGATGTGCCTTCCAATAGTAAGAATACCGCACAACACTCATTTCCCCTGAGAGATTAAATACAAGATTTTTTTTTTTTAAGACAGGTTCTCACTCTGTCGCCCAGGGTGGAGTGCAGTAGCACGATCACGGCTCACTGCAGCTTCAACCCTCCAGGCTCAATTGATCCTCCCACCTCAGGCTCCTGAGTAGCAGGTACTATAGGTGCATACCACCACACCTGGCTAATTTTTAAAATTTTTTTGTAGAGATGGGATCTCCCTACGTTGCCCAGGCTGGTCTTGAACTCCTGAGCTCAAGCAATACACCCTTCTTGGCCTCCCAAAGTGCTGAGATTACAGGTGCGAACCACCGTGCCAGGCCTAAATTCAAGATTTCTAAAGATACTTTTTATATTTTCCACTTGAATGGTACTAGTTCTTCATTGGTAAGATAGCAAACTAGTGTATGTAGGATACCTATGTGAATCAGCAAACAAGATTGTTCTAATACTGTAGTTAAATATTTTGAGCTTTCTCCACCACCCCACCACCCTACTCCCAGGATGTGTTGTCATTTCCATGTTATTTGATCTTTCACAAATTAGTCAGGTACAACCTATCAGTCATTTCATTTTAGTCACCAATACATATCACTTAAACCTTGACCTCACAAAAGCTGCAGCAGCAATTAAAGCAATTCCTTAGATTCTGTCAAGAATAATAATAATTTAAAAAACTCTCCTATTTTGTCTGGGACAAAATATACCTCCTAAATCAGGAGGCGAGACATTACAGTTTGTCTTTAGCCTATTTTCTTGTGGATTAAATAATATTTCTTTGGCCATTTCTTACTAGGTCTTTTTAAAATATATTTGATCATTTTTGTTGCTATTCTCTGAATCTCTGCCAAATTCTCAAATAACTAATTTAAGTAACCAAATGATTGTCATTAAATATTTGAATTATGTGTCTCTCCATAGCATACTTGTGTTTCATATATGCTTAATTCCTATTTGTGTCACACATATTTTAAAAGCAATATAACATGATTGAGTTATTAACCTCATTTTCATTTAAATGAAGATCACATTTTTCCCTTACAATGCTGGTTTTGCCTTTTCTTTAGCATGTGGTCTTCTGGAGTTTTCACATGAGTAAATTATCAATATGTAATTCAATCATACCATTTTCCTTGAATCTCTAAAATGTACATGTGCTATTAAAATTTAACCCAGTTCTTTAAGGCACCTCACCCACTAGTGAATGCTGTATCTTGTTATACAAACCATTTTTAAAATGTTATCTTGTACTGAGTCAGGTTCCCTCAAACATCTCATGAATGACTCTTCACAAACAGATATTCATCTTTCTCATTCCTCAGAAGTATTTATTTATTTTTAAATTTTTTAAATTAATATTTAATAGATGTATATATTTTCAGGGTACATGTGATGATTTAATATTCATACAGTTTGTAAAAATCAAATCAGGGATATCCACCACCTTAAATATTTAAATATATCCCCCTTAAATATTTGTCTTTTCTTTATGCTAGAAACATTCGAATTATTCTCTTGCAGCTATTTTGAAATATACAATAGATTATTGTAAACTATAGTCACTATAGTCACCCTACTGACATATCAAACATTATTTTGATATGGTCAAAATATGGTCTTATTTCTCCAAACTGTTTATTTGTGCTCATTAATCAACCTGTCTTCATTCCCTAGGATTTTACTAATTACTTCCTTCAATTTTTGAAGTCTAGATTAATATACCAAAGATCTAGATAAATGATCCTATGGTAATAAAACTGTTATTTGATTATAAACAGGACCAAAATTTTTCAGAGGAAACTTGCATCTATGATTTTTTTTTCTAAACTAGGTAGAGTAATGATCTACTCAGTTGTTTAACCATTATGTCTATCTTCATGGCTTTGCTTCTCTTTAGAAGACATTGTCAGTTAGTATTTCCACCAAACACTTCCAACCTTCACTTGCCATGCAAACCACCTCAAACTGTGCACAAGTTCTTCCCTCCAGTGGCAACACTTCCAAACTATTTCAGTTAATGATCTTCTTCCACTCTCCTCAACTTGATATCTTGGAGTTATCTCTGTTTTTTCATTTTGAGACAGGGTCTCACTCTGTCACTCAGGCTGGAGTTCAGTGGTGCCATCTCAGCTCACTGCAACCTCCGCCTCCTGGATTCAAGCAATTCTCCCACCTCAGCCTCCCAAGTAGCTGGGACTACAGGTGCACACCACCACGCCTGGCTAATTTTTGCATTTTTTGGTAGAGATTTGTTTTCACCATGTTTGCCAGGCTGGTCTTGAACTTCTGCCCTCTAGTGATCCGTGTGCCTTGGCCTCCCAAAGTGCTGGGATTACAGGCGTGAGCCACCATGCCCAGCCAAGTCATATATTTTATTCCTTTCTACATCATCCATCATGTTAGATACTATGCCCTGTGGGCTTTTCTTTTCCCCAGCATCTGACTCCTTTGCAAAATTTCCTTTTCCATTGCCACCATGGTAGACTAGTCCTTTATCTCATATTTCAAAAATTCCAGAAGAATCCAAGCAATATGTCTGCCTCATTCTTCCCCATTGCATTCTGGTCCTCATAACTGTCAGGTTAGCTTTCTAAAATGCAAATTTCATTTAATTATTTTATTATAAAATTACTTCTTGCTACCCATAAAATGAACTTCAAATTCCTAAATCTGTCCATTCAAGGCCCTCTATCATTTGCCCTAGTTTAACTGTGTAGCCCTAACTCTAGCTGCTCCCTCTCACCAATTTCCCATTCTAGTCAGACAGGGGCTCATTGGGCTCCACGTGCATGACTGATTAATCACATTCTGAACAATGCCAGAAATCCATACACAATGTTACAGTTTTTATCGGACGTCCAATTGAGCTTATTTTGCAAATATGATTGGTGCCCTTTGTAACTAGGGTTAGACGGAAGGAAAAGGACATCAAATGCTAAAACCAAAAATGGTTATTCTTACTAATAGAAGTGAAAGGTATATAAATAAAATAGGAAGAAGCACAATAGTACATCTTCCACATTTTATAGAATAAGAAACTAAGGCCTGAGAGATTAAATGACTCACCAATTTTCCATGGATGGGTAGCAAAAGTCCCAGCTAGTTCTAGTCCTAGGCCCCCTGATTTAAGTCTTGCTCCATTTTGCTCAGCTGCGTCTCCAAACGAAACCAGTTTAGAGTTTAAAAGGAGTAAATACCTTCTTACAGAATGTATTAAAGAAAACTTAGGACAAATTCATTAGTGTTTTAGGTTTCAAAAGATAATTCTTTTGAAATAATGATTTATGAAACGAGTATTCTTTTAAAATGACCTATAATCTAATGAAATGTTAGAGAAATTTAAGGTGTTACTATTATGAAAGGATTTAATTATAAGCCTATATTCCAAGATGTTGCAATTGATTACTGAATAATAGTCTATACATACTAATTTCAGATCTCCAAGGATTTTCATATTGCCAAGCAGTCACATAATATAAACTAAATGAGTTCCCAAATGAGTTGTGTCAAGTGTCCATGTTGTTTTTTAGAGTCAAGATATATTTAGTTTAAATGTGAAAAGAAATTTCAAGTAGTCTTTCTGTTTCAGTCAACAGTCTGTGAAATGCCAAATACTCACTATTGTTACATTGGCTTCTTAGGAAAACTGCCCCTAGGTACTATGGCTTGTGTTGATTTTCAGTGAAGCCAGCCTTGTTTATCCTGGTCTACAAATGTTTGGACACTATAAAGACTAGACATGAAGGAGGCTGACCTCCTGTCAGCTAGAGTGGCATAAAATTCAAGCCAATTTTGGCACTCCATTTTGAATGGTGATTTTTGGATCTAATAACATTCTCTCTGTCTTGGAAAGTAAGACGCATTGTGAATTAAGAGAATTCAGGTCATTAGAGTTTAGGCATGATTCCAGTTTTCCATAAGGCCTGCTCCACTATTGCTTCCCATCTTGGAAGTGCTTAGAGAAACTCTATAACTGAAAAGATAACATCCGGGGCTACCTTACATCCCACTGTGTCCTTGCACAAAACCTCCATTGCCAAAGGTGATATGGATATAGCTTTTCTTTGCGTCTTTAAAGAGCTTAACAAATAGATCTCATGTAAACTGTAATGCCATTTTTTTGAAATAGGGAAACACTATAAAATATTTAAACTCTTCTATATCTTCAGAATTGACATGTTTTCATATCAGTCTTTATCCCCCCATCCTTCATCCAAGAAACCAGTAATAGAATTCACCATTGTGAAGGTATGAAAGGTAATTCTGGATTGATTATACACTCCTCTGTGTGAGTGTAGCCATCTATAGAACCTCGCTAAAGAGTCTTGCAGAGTAAGTTATCAGCCAACAATCATAAATTTATCTTTCTAGTCCGACAACTGGAGTACCATTTGGATCTCTGCAGCAATGATTTACTAAAAGCTACCTAAAAGTTTGAAAGAAAGTATTGAATTTGACATCTGTATTGACAAATAAACTAGGATACGATATAGTACCATTTAAAAAAAATTTTATTTTACTTTAAGTTCTGGGATACATGTGCTGAACATGTAGGTTTGTTATATAGGTATACATGTGCCATGGTGGCTTGCTGCACCTATCAGCCTGTCAAATAGGTTTTAAGCTCCACATGCATTAGGTATTTGTCCTAATGCTCTCCCTTCCCTTTCCCCCACCCTGCCACAGGCCCCAGTGTGTGATGTTCCCCTCCCTGTGTCCATGTGTTCTCATTGTTCAGCTCCCAATTATGCGTGAGAACATGTGGTGTTTGGCTTTCTGTTCCTGTGTTAGTTTGCTGAGGATGATAGTTTCTAGCTTCATCCATGTCCCTGCAAAGGACATGAACTCGTTCTTTTTTGTAGCTGCATAGTATTCCATGCGGTATATGTGCCACATTTTCTTCATCCAGTCTATCGTTGATGGGCATTTGGGTTGGTTCCAAGTCTTTGCTATTGTAACTAGTCCTGCAATAAACATACGTGGAAACGTGTCTTTATAGTAGAATTATTTATAATCCTTTGGGTATATACCCAGTAATGGGATTGCTGGGTAAAATGGTATTTCTGGTTCTGACATAGCACTGTTTTTTAATCATTTAAAATACAAAATTTTTAAGTCTACAGGTAGAATTATTATTTAGAGTTGTAAAGTTTGCTGATTTTCCTTTACGAGACAGATTTTAACTTTAATCTTTATACATTCTATAGAAGTTTAAAAAAACTTAGACATTATGTTAACATATGAATTACATGGGTTGATTTATTGATTTCATATCTTCTACTACAGTGGTTCCCAAACTTTAATGTGCTAGTGGATTACATGGAGTGTTTATTAGGAACATAAATTTCTCAGGTCATGTTTAACAAGTAGCCTATATGGCAGTGCCAGTGATGCAGGTGGTCTGAAGGCAAGCCTTCTATTCTGTAAGTAATGATTTGCCAAATATGTATCAACACACATGCGAAATTATTGTTTATTTTTTATGATATTAATTATAGTCTTTGTTATAGAATTCAAACTTGGGGAGAATTATAAATGTTATAATTCCTAATAGAGGAAGCACATCTTTAAATAATCTAGGTTTGAAAATCAGGCAAAATATATTAACAATTCACAGAAAAAGAAATGTAAATAGTACTTTAACAGGAAAAATTGCTGGACCTTGCCCAATAATGAGACAAACGCAAACTGAAACTACACTTAGATACCATTTTATATATACATTAATTAGGTTCCAAAAATCCAAAAGTTTGCAACATGCTGTGTTGGCATGGTTTTGGGGAAACAGCCACTCTTACATGTGCTGGTAAGAATGCAAAATGACATAATTCCTGTCAAGGAGGATTTTGCAGAAACTAGCAAGATTATATGTATTTACTCTTTAATCCTGTAATCCCATTTCTAGAAATCCAACCCACAGATTTACTGGCAAAAATGTACAATAATGTATATACAGGTCTATTCATTGCAGCATTGTGTATAATGACAAATGACTGCAAACAAACCAAATTTTCAATAGAGAACTGATTGAATAATCTTTGGTAGATCCACACATAGGGTACTTTACAGCTGTGAAATAGACTCAATCTCTGTATGCTGATATGACCCAATCTCTAGAATATTATTAGATGATATAAGCAAGGTATAGGACTGTGTTTATAATGTGACAGTTTCACGTAAACAAAAGAAGTTATATGCGTGTGCGTATGTATTTGAAACAATAGAAACCTAAACCAAACACTTTTTTTCTTTTTGAGACAGGGTCTCACTCTGTTGCCCAGGCTGGAGTGCAGTGGTGCGATCACAGCTTACTGCGGCCTCAACCTCCAGGGCTCAGATAATCCTCCCATCTCAGCCTCCCATGTAGCTGGGACTACAGGCATGCATCACCACGCCTGGCTAAGTTTTTAATTTTTTGTAGAGATGGGGTTTTACCATGTTGCCTAGGCTGTTTTCAAACTCTTAGGTTCAAACAATCTGCCCGCCTCAGCCTCTCAAAGTGCTGGGATTTACAGGCATGAGCTACCGCACCCTGCCACCAATCACTTTAAAAAGCAGTTACCTATAAAGGGAGGGAGAGAAGAGGATAGATGAGAAAGGATGTAAAGGTAGACTTCTCTGAATGTACATAAATGCAATGTTTTACATAATTAAAAAACAAAATTAATCAAAATGGAAACAAAAAAGAATCCCTTAAAAATACTAATGCCACTGTACACCAATGTAGTAGCATAAAAACACTGAGGAAAGATAAAATGCAAAATAAATGATAGAATTCAAAAATAACTGTTTTGCAAACCCCAAAGAAATAATGGATCTGGGCAACATTTATCAATGGGTGTTAAAGCCATTAGTTGTAAGACTGATTGAAAATTTTCTAATGAAAGGATCAGGATATACCATCTAACCCTACTGATCAGACTCACTATCACTCAGAGTGGAATAACCAGACATTACATGACTCATAATGCGATGCAACAGGAAGTGCAGTAGTACCACCTGTGTAGTGTTCGTGCCTTGAAAAAGAACCAGAATCTAATTAAGCCTCTGTAGCCAAACACCAGTTTATATGGAATCCAAGTGGTGAAAGAATGAGTTAAAGGACACCATGAGAAAACAGTCATCCAAATCTAGAATGTGAGACATTCTACATGACTAGATCTCGTACAACTGTTTTCTCTAATGGAGGGGGAAAAGTGGACAGTCCTAGAATAACAAGACATAGATACATAATCAAATAAAGTTTGTAGGCATCTTCTGAACTCTGTTTGTAACAAACAACTGAAAAAATACATTTTTGAGACAATGCAATGGACTGGGTATTAGATGATGGTAAGGAATTACGTTTACCATATAAGGTGAGGTGGATATGTAAAATGCAAGTGTCCTTATCAGCAAAAAACTAATAAAGGTGATGTTCACAGAATACACTTTATAACTCAAAAGTCATTCATTTTGACTGTTACAAGAGGTCACCATCAAGCATTTCCAGTTCCCAATCCTTATACTATATAAATATTGTATTTTTTAGTATGATATTCATTGGTTGTAAAGTCTTAGGTTGAGCATTTTGCCAACCAGTATTTGATTTTCATTTTATTTACAAATGTACTCATGACCAAATAGCTCTCCAGAACTTATAATATAAAATATACAACTTATTTGTATACATGTATTTTTAACGTGTTATACTATACTGGTATAAATAATGATTTCACAAAATTTGTCCTTGTTTGTGATTTGATTAGTTTTGCATTCTTATACAGGAGGGAATGTAGATTTGTATATCAATGAAATTCAATTCTGCATAGACTGACCAAGGGATTCATGAAAAAAAAAAAAAACAGCTCAGGTGTAAAGACATAAAATTAGAAACAGATAACTCACTTTAGTATCAGTATTGCTGTACTTTTCATGATTACTCTTTTTTCCATTACCTGTTCAGATAATGAAAAACATAAATTGATTTTCAATAAATGTCTTATGACAATTTCCATTCTATGTATTTTAATCCAAATTGCTATAGCAATCACTGCAGTCCCTAGGAACTAGAGATGAGAAAGTAGTGGAAACGATGAATTAACAGAGCCTGTATACAGTTTTGATCTCTTCTCTTTAATCTCCTTTGTTTCATCTTTGATAATTTATGAAAGTTATATCTGCACAAGACAAACTAAACAGATTAACATAATAATGTAGAATACTTGAGCAGAACAAACAACTGAATCATCTAGCTAATGGCTTCAATTCTCTACTGTCCTTTTTTTTTTAAACAAAACTAAACAACTCAAGAGAACCTTTCGCGCATTCTGTAATACAACCCGTGTCTTTTGCTTCCTCCCCCAATCTCTTTCATCTTTCAAACCAAACCTTTCCAATGTGCCCTTTAGAACTCACGATTGTATTATAGTTAGCAAAATCCTAGATATCTCAAAACCTTTTTTCTGATGTTTCTCCCTTCAGCTCTCCCCTAGCATACTGCTTTCCCTGCAGTCTTCTCATGTGGGAGCTGTTTCTCTCCCAAAGCCGTAGTGTTACTGGGCTTAGAGGTGGGGTAAGAGTCTTACCCTTTACTGTGTCACAGACCGTGATCCCTTCTGAAGTTCATGCTATCAGACGGTACTACCCATCAACCGTTCTATTGCAGATCTCAGCCCCTCATTCCTTGAATTTTAGACTTGCCCTCATTGACTCATTTTACTATAATTTCTATCATAATTCTCGGTGATTTCAACATTCATGTAGAGGATCCTTCCAGTACCCTGACCCCTCAGTTACTTGACCTTTTTTTCTTTTTTTTTTTTTTTTTTTTTTGAGACAGTCTCACTCTGTCACCCAGTGCAGTGGTGCGGTCTGAGCTCACTGCAACCTCTGCCTCCCATGTTCAAGCGATTCTCATGCCTCAGCCTCCCGAGCTGATGGGACTATGGGATTACAGGCACATGCCACCATGCCCAGCTAATTTTTTGTATTTTTATTAGAGACAGAGTTTCTCCATGTTGGCCAGGCTGGTCTTGAACTCCTGGCCTCAAGTGATCCGCCCGTGTCTACTTCCTAAAGTGCTGGGATTACAGGCATGTGCCACCGCGCCTGGCTTCAGTTACTTGACCTTCTATCTTCCAGTGATTTTGTCCTCCATCCTACCTAAGCCACCCTTACCTACTGTTACATTGTAGACTTTGTCATTACTAATGTCTGTACCCCTTAATTTCAATTTAAAGTATCCCATTCTCAAATACCCCCTCTTATTTTTCAGCTGATTTCCTTGGGGACCCTAACTCCCAATAATTCTTTATATAATGATGTTTAATCTGTTGACCTTAATATCTTCTTGCACCCAATTAAATCCTTACTTCTTGCCTTATCCAGCTTAGGTTTATGGACCATCACTATATTCACTCCTTGCATATAACCTATCTCTCTTGATTTTGCCTCTCTCCCTCCCTTACCTTGAATAAAATTCACTCCAGCAGCTGAACTTGGCTAAAAACAAAGCACTCAATTATGTTAACCAGTCTTATTTTAAATTTACTACGTTTTCATAGACAATTCTTTTAACAATTTATCTTGTTGACTGAATTAATATCTTTTTTCTCCATAAACTTCCAATACCTTCTACACAGTTCCTGCTTTTAGGTAATGATCTTGATTCTTTTTGAGACAGAGTTTTCCTCTGTCTCCCAGGCTGGAGTGCAGTGGTGCAATCTCGGCTTACTGCAACCTCCGTCTCTTGGGTTCAAGCGATTCTCCCACCTCAGCCTCCTGAGTAGCTGGGATTATAGGCACATGCCACCACAGCCCGGCTAATTTTTGTATTTTTAGTAGTGATAGGGTTTCACCATATTGGTCAGGCTGGTCTCGAACTCCCGACCTCAGGTGATCCACCTGGCTCAGCCTCCCAAAGTGCTGGGATTACAGGCATGAGCCACCATGCCCAGCTTGATTCTTAATTACTTAGAAAATAGACATAACTGGAAGAAATGTTCACATTCTCCCACCACCATATCAGTTGACATATCTGCACATGTACCCACATTTTGCTTACTCTACAAGTTCCTTCCTGCATGTAAAAATAAATGATTCTATCGCTCCTATTTAAAGCCAACCCTTCCATTGCCTCCCTTTCCCTCTTCTTGCTCTAGGGCACTGTTTCAGTAATTGTTCCCTCTTTCACCTACGGTTTCCTCTTTAATAGATCAATCATTGCATCAGCATATAAAAATGACAACCTCCTATCTGAAAAGAAACAAACAAAAACTTTCAACCCCATGTGGCAGGGCAGTTTAGCCACCACACCATTTTGTGATTCCTTTTGCAGTAAAACACCCCAAAAGAGTTGTCTGTGCTCACTGTCTCAAGTTTCTTTATTGTTTCTTGAACCCACTTGAAGCCGGCTTTCACCTTCACCACTCTACCCAAACTATTCTTGTCAGAGTAACCTATGGCCAACATGTTGTCAAATTCAGTGCTCACAGTTGGCTATTTCTTATTTTTCTGACCTCTAAATGTTGCAGTGACCAAGATAAGTCCTCAGATTTTCACTACTTTGATAGTGAGTGATCTCATCTAGTGCCTGTTGCGGGAAGTCAGGGACCCCGAACGGAGGGACCAGCTGAAGCCATGGCAGAAGAACGTGGATTGTGAAGATTTCATGGACATTTATTAGTTCCCCAAATTAATACTTTTATAATTTCTTATGCCTGTCTTTACTGCAATCTCTAAACATAAATTGTGAAGATTTCATGGACACTTATCACTTCCCCAGTCAATACCCTTGTGATTTCTTATGCCTGTCTTTAATCTCTTAATTCTGTCATCTCGTAAACTGAGGAGGATGTATGTCACCTCAGGACCCTGTGATGATTGCGTTAACTGAACAAATTGTAGAGCATGTGTGTTTGAACAATATGAAATCTGGGCACCTTGAAAAAAGAACAGGATAACAGCAATGTTCAGGGAACAAGAGAGATAACCCTAAACTCTGACCGCTGATGAGCCAGGCAGAACAGAGCCATATTTCTCTTCTTTCAAAAGCAAATGGGAGAAATATCGCTGAATTCTTTTTCTCAGCAAGGAACATCCCTGAGTAAGAGAGTGCTCCCCTGAGGGTAGGCCTCTAAACTGGCCCCCTTGCGTGTGGACGTCTTCTATGGTCGAGACTGTAGGGATGAAATAAGCCCCAGTCTCCCATAGCACGCCCAGGCTTATTAGGACAAGGAAATTCCCGCCTAATAAATTTTGGTCAGACCGGTTGCTCTCAAACCCTGTCTCCTGATAAGATGTTATCAATGAAAATGGTGCCCAAAACTTCATTAGCAATTTTAATTTCGCCCGGTCCTGTGGTCCTGTGATCTCGCCCTGCCTCCATTTGCCTTGTGATATTCTATTACCTTGTAAAGCACGTGATCTCTGTGACCCACACCCTATTCGTACACTGCCTCCCCTTTTGAAAATCCCTAATAAAAACTTGCTGGTTTTATGGCTCAGGGGGCATCACGGAACCTACCGACATGTGATGTCTCCCCCAGATGCCCAGCTTTAAAATTTCTCTCTTTTGTACTCTGTCCCTTTATTTCTCAACCCGGCCAACACTTAGGGAAAATAGAAAAGAAGCTACGTGACTATCGGGGGCAGGTTCCCTGATAGTGCCATTGCTTAAAATTCCACTGATAGGCTGTCTACTTATATTTCTAACTTGGACCTTTCCCTTGAACTCCAAATTTGTTTATCTGATTATTTATCAACTTAGTTACCAACTCTACTTGAACGAGTAACACACATTTAAATATGTTTAAAACCAACCTTTGGTTTTCCCTCCAAAATCTCCTCTTCCAGTCGTCCTTCCTATCACAGTAAATGGTAGTCCTACTTTAGGAGTTTCTTAGGTTGATAATCTTGGAGTCATCCTTGTCTCTTCTGTTTCTCTTATAACCCATAGTCAGTCTAATAGTAAATTGTGTTCAAATAGATCCATAACCCTATTAGTTGTTTTCACTTCTGCAAATGCTACCCTGGTCCAAGCCACCATCATCTCTCACCTTGAATTTTGCCAAGATCCTAACTGATATCTTTGTTTCTACCCTTGCTTCCTTGTAATATATTCTTCATACGGTAACCAGACTAATCCTTGTAAAATGTAAGTCACATCATGTCATTCCTCCACTCAAAACCCTTTAATGGGCCAGGTGCAGTGGCTTACACCTGTAATCCCAGCACTTTAGGAGGTTGAGATGGGCGGAGCATCTGAGGTCAGGAGTTCAAGACTAGCCTGGCCAACATGGCGAAACCCCGTCTCTACTAAAAATACAAAAATTAGCTGGGTGTGGTGGCGGGCACCAGCTACTCAGGAGGCTGAGGCAGGAGAATCTCTTCAAGCCAGGAAGCAGAAGCAGAGGTCGCAGTGAGCCGAGATCATGCTGCTGCAGTCCAGCCTGGGTGACAGAGTGAGCAAGACTTCGTCTCAAAAACAAAACAAAACCTCTTTCAATGGCATTCCATATCATTCAGAGTAAAACCTAAAATCCTTATAAGGCCTTCTGGATTTGGTCTCTGACCTCATCTGTAGCTAAGACTACAGGCACATGCCATCACACCTGGCTAATATTTTGTATTTTTAGTCTTACTTAAAATGTTTAGTCTTACTGTATCCTCTAGTCCTACTCTGACCCAGGCACACTGACTTTCTTACTTTTTCTCCAAAAAACCAAGCATATGATCTACTTCAGGTTCTTTGCACTTGGCTATTCCTACTGCCTAGAATGTTCTTTCTCCATATAGCCAAATGGCTCATTTCCTTATCCCTTCTGGCCTCTGTGTAATTATCATCTTATCAGAGAATGCCTTTCCTACACACCCTATAAACATGTTCTCTCCCATTCCTTGCCCAGTGTTATTTATTTGTTTATTTATTTATTTAGAGACGGAGTCTCACTATGTTGCCCAGGTTGGCCATGAACTCCCAGGCTCAAGTGATCCTCCCTCCTCAACTTCCAGAGTAGCTGGGATTCCAAGTGCACCCAGCTCCAGCTCTGTTATTATTATTATTATTATTATTATTATTATTATTATTATTATTATTTTGTGTGGCACTTGCCACAAAAAACTTACCTGACATCTGTTAAAGCTAACTAAATATAGCCTGAGAAGGACTCTGTACTTCTATATTTGAGTGCTTGTGGACAAACTGCAACCTAGCTTAATAGGTAGACAAGGTTAAAAACCTAATTTAGGAGTATGTGCCTGTAACAATAGCTGAGTCTTGGCTAATCCCAGCAGCTGTACTTCAACCATTCATACACTGCTAAGTGTTCAAACTGTGTTCAAATAAGGCAAATGGCAACTTGTAACCAATCCAGCCATTCTGTACCTCACTTCTGATTTCTGTACATTATTTCCCTTTTTTGTGTTTATAAATTTTCTTTCACTATGTGGCTGCGCTGGAGTCTCTGTGAATCTGCTATAATTCTGGGGGCTGCCCAATTCGTGAATCATTCATTGCTCAGTTAAACTCCTTTAAATTTAATTTGGTTTTTCTTTTATCACATCATTTGTTTATTTTGTTTCTCTCTCAACTCATACCAGAAGTTCCACCAAAACAGTGACTTTTTTTATTTTGTTCATTGCCGTATCCCAGTTTGGCACATGGTCTGTGCTCAGTAAATATTTACTGAAAGAATGAAGTCTTTTAGTTCTCTCTCTCCCCGTCTTTTGCTTTTTGATAGTCACTTAAATATATACTAAATCTTTTTGTAGTAAAACTACTCAACATTCTTTGATAGTTCCCCAAATCAATTAAGATGGTATTCTAATGATGGAAATGATCTTTATTTGTTCTTTTCTTTCTCTTTATTAGCCAAGTGTTATTATATACAGCTTTCCACAATGATTAAAGAAATATTCTATATCTGCACTCACTAATATGGTAGTCACTAGTCACATGTGGCTATTGAACATTTCAAATTTGGCTAGCACAAATGAAGGAACTAAATTTTTAATTCATTTACCTTTTCTTTTTTTTCTGAGACAGAGTTTCATTCTGTCACCCAGGCTGGGGTACAGTGGCATGATCATGGCTCAATGTAGCTTTGACCTGCTGGGCTTAAGCAATCCTCCCACCTCAGCCACTTGAATAGATGAGACTACAGGTGTGCACCACCAAACTTGGCCAATTTTTAAATTTTTTTGTAGAAACAAGATCTCACTGTGTGGCCCCAGCTGGTCTCAAACTCCTGAGCCTGGCTAATTTTTAAATTTCTTTGTAGAGATGAGGCCTCACTGTGTTGCCCAGGCGGGTCTTGAATTCCTAAGCTGAAGCCATCCTCCCACTTTGGCTTCCCAAAGTGTTAGAATTACAGGCATGAGCTACCACATCTCTAGCCTAGGTTTTTTTTGTTTTTTTTTTTTTTTTTTTTTTTTAGATACAAGGTCTCACTCTGTCACCCAGGCTGGAGTGCAGTGACACAATCATAGCTCACTGCAGCCTCAACCTGCTGAATTTAAGCAATCCTCCCACCTCAGCCTCCTGAGTAGCTAGGACTACAGGTGTGCACACCATGCCCGGCTAATTTTTTAAAAAACATTTTTTTTTGTAGAGACAGTCTTGCTATGTTGCCCAGGCTGGTCTCAAACTCCTGGCCTCAATCAATCCTCCTTCCTTGACCTCCCAAAGTGCTGGGATTATAGGCTTGAGCCACTCTACCCAGCAATTTAATCTAATTTTTTTTTTTTGAGATGGAGTCTTGCGCTGTCGCCCAGGCTGGAGTGCAGTGGCACAATCTCGGCTCACTGCAAGCTCTCCCTCCCGGGTTCACAGCATTCTCCTGCCTCAGCCTCCCGAGTAGCTGGGACTACAGGAGCCCACCACCATGCCCAGCTAATTTTTTTTGTATTTTTATTAGAGACGGGGTTTCACTGTGTTAGCCAGGATGGTCTCAATCTCCTGACCTCGTGATCTGCCTGCCTCGGCCTCCCAAGGTGCTGGGATTACAGGCATGAGCCACCATGCCTGGCCTAATTTCATCTAATTTTAACTTAAATAGACACTTGTGGCTAATGGCTACCATACTGGACAGTGTAGTCTTATAGAATGTGATGGCTTAGAATTCCAATTACACATTTTGTAATTTTATTTTATTTTAATTGATTAATTAATTTTGAGATGGAGTCTTGCTCTGTCACCAGGCTGGAGTGCAGTGGCACGATCTCGGCTCACTGCAATCTCTACCTCCAGGGTTCAGGCAATTCTCCTGTCTCAGCCTCCCGGGTCACTGGGATTACAGGTGCACACCACCACACCCAGCTAATTTTTGTATTTTTAGTAGAGACAGGGTTTCACCGTGTTAGCCAGGATGGTCTCGATCTCCTGACCTCATGATCCGCCCCTCTCGGCCTCTCAAAGTGCTGAGATTACAGGCGTAAGCCACCGCGCCCAGCCACATTTCATAATTTTATACTTCTATTTTAAATTTCTTTATTGTATTTACAATTGTTTTCTTAAATTGTGGAGCAAACAGCTTCATAATTCCCATTTTTAAATTTTCCTAATTTTTCTCTCTCTAACCCACTCTTTAGAAGGTTTCTTCCAAGTTAAACTTACATTTACCTTGAAATATACATATGCATATTTCTTTCTTTTTTTTTTTCAGACGGAGTTTTGTTCTTGTTGCCCAAGCTGGAGTGCAATGGCACAATCTCAGCTCACTGCAACCTTTGCTTCCTGAGTTCAAGTGATTCTCCTGCCTCAGCCTCCTGAGTAGCTGGGATTACAGGCATGTACCACCATGCCAGGCTAATTTTGTATTTTTAGTAAAGACGGGGTTTCACCACGTTGGCCAAGGTGGTTTTGAACTTCTGACCTCAGGTGATCTGTCTACCTCGGCCTCCCAAAGTGCTGGGATTACAGGCATGAGCCACCGTGCCTGACCACATATGCATATATCAAATAATAATAGTAGTTTATAAATAAGATAATGAGCACTTTTTAATAGAAAGAATAAAACCTAAGTTTCATCATATAATTGAAAACTGTGAAATTCATTTTGGTGGATGTTGTTTGGCTACTCAAAAGCCATTCCCAGTCTGATTCTCCTTTGTAGTCTCCCATGATAGAAGCTAGAAACACAAATGCTTTCCTAGCCTCCTTTGCAGCAAGGAGTGACTGTGTGACCAGATATGACCCATCTCAAGAGATCCAAGAATACATTTACTAGGAAAGTTTCTAGGAAAGCTTTTGGTATCCTGATAAGAAAGGAACAGACAATGGAATATACTCACAATAAAAAGGCACAATCTATTTGACATGGTTTGACTCTGTGTCCCCACCCAAATCTCATCTCAAATTGTAATCCCCATATTCCCCACATGTTGAGGGAGGGACCTGGTGGGAGGTGACTGGATCATGGGGATGGTTTCCCCCATGCTGTTCTCATGATAATGAGCGAGTTCTCATGAGATCTGATGGTTTTTTTCTTTTCTTTTCTTTTCTTTTTTGAGATGGAGCCTTACTCTGTTGTCCTGGCTGGAGTACAGTGGGGCGATCTCAGCTCACTGCAACCTCCACCTCCAGGTTTCGAGTGACTCTCCTGCCTCAGCCTCCTGAATAGCTGGGATTACAAGTGTGTGCCACCATGCCAAGCTAATTTCTGTATTTTTAATAGAGACGGGGTTTCACCATGTTGGCCAGGCTGGTCTCGAACTCCTGGCCATAAGCAATCCATCCACCTTGACCTCCCGAAGTGCTGGGATCTGATGGTTTTACAAGTGTTTGGTAGTTCCTCCTTCATGCACTCTCTGTCCTACCATCTAGTGAAGAAGGTATTTGCTTATTCTTTGCCTTTGGCCATGATTGTAAGTTTCCTGAGGCCTCCCTAGCCATGCATAACTGTGAATCAATTAAACCTCTTTTTTAAATAAATTACCCAGTCTCAGGTATTTCTTTATAGCAGTGTGAAAACAGACTAATATGCTATTGATACACATATGAAAATCTCAAAAGTATTATGTTGAGTGAAAAAATCCAGATAAGTATACATACTGTATGATTTAATTGTTATGAAATTTAAAAATAGTTAAAACAAGCCTTTACTTATAGAAATTATAACTATAGTTGCTTCTGGAACAGGTAAGGGTACTGTCTGTAAAGTAGCACAAGGGAATTTCAGGAGTGATGAAAATGTTCTACATGTTTATTTGTGTAATGACCACATTAGTGTATATACATTTGTCAACATTCATTGATTGGTATGTTTAAGATATATTAATCTCATTACATAGAAATTATATCACAATTTAAAAAAAAGGAAGAGTGGTAGCTCACATACCCTTCAGCCATCCCCCTTTCTTCCTAGACAATATTCCTGGAGTTGCCACTTTCATTTGTGTCTATGCAGAAAGACCAAGAGAAATGCAGAGATACTCACTGTAACTTTGCTAAGTCATTGAACCACTACAGTAATTGTCCACTTCGATTTCTCATTATGTCAGAAAAATAAACTATTTGTTTTAGCTACCCTGGTTGGGTTAATCAAGAAAATGAAAAATACATTTTATTTGGAGTTTTGAATGACACTAGTGATATAATAATTTCATATTATGTGATTTGTTACATCCCACATCTCACCCAATGGGATTCTACAATGACCCAAAATAGTTTGTCATGGAAGCATCAACATGAGAAAATAGGCATATTAAGGAAATTTACCTTGTTATTGATTAAATATTAGCAATGATAAACTAGAATGTACACTTATAAAAGTTAAGTGTTGGTTCTAAAGGTAAACAAGAGGACAGATATGAGTAAAGAACAAGATGTTATATAGCTTCTGGAAATTTGGTCTCTAAAAGAAAATAAAATAGTACTTGCTAAAATAAGAAGAAATTATGCATGCTGAAAAAGTTCAAATTGCATACCATAAAAATAATTGTGAGAACTAATACTCGTTGAGTGCCTTCCAAGTATCTATCAGTCATGTACTAAACTTTTTATACATAATCCTAACAACTCTATGAGGAATGTATTATTTCCATTTTGCTATGAGGAGACTGAGTTTCAGAGAGGTTAAGCAACTTTTGTAGAGGCAGACCTTGATCCTGGGTCTGTCAGACAGCTAAGATTAGTGCCCTTACCATGGCCATGTTTACTTTCCCCTGTCACCACAGGACAATGCATGAGAATTTTATTGGGTTTAAAGTAGGGATTTTTTTTTTCCAAACAAATATATGAAAAGAATCTTGACAATTTCTGACCTCATGGGGTGTTCTTATAAACTATAAGTCACATACTAGATTTCCTCATAAAAATTAAAAGACAATCTTACTTTGAACTGAAGGAAGATATTGTGGCTAATAATCACAGTTTGTGTGGACTACACTGCAATTCTGTAGCTTAACACATTCCATAATCTGTCCTTGTCTTAGTATTTAAATAGTGGTAAAACCTTGTATAAGATATTAGAATAATATTTGTCTATTACACCTTAATAAATCTGGAAAAAATATCTCAGAATAATGATCAGTTATAATCTGTTTATAAGATATAGAGTCTCAGATAATTCAGAAGATGTTGTATAATATGTACAGTGAAACTTGCTAAAGATAACTAGAATATTTTCAGTTTTGCAATTTTATCCTTTTACTCTTTGAAAGACAGTGATAGCGTAATTGTCAAAACATTAATTAAAACTATTCCATGAGAAAGTGGTTTCAAAAGATTAAATAACTTTTCTTCCAAATAAGAAAAAATTCAGAGGCTTTGAGAAAACATTTAGTAAAGCCATAGAAATAGAGACTAGCCTTATCCTCCTCCTCAGCCAGTTGCCTAAAGAAGTTTCAGGAAAACTCCCCAAAAATATTTTAACTGAATATAGTTCTTGGTCAGTTCATGAAGTTTCACTATTATACTAAGGTCCTTCCTTCATTCTCAAAAAATAGAAATAGCATTTACAGTTTGCCATTCCTTTTCTGAAGGTCAGGGAATGGGAAGAGATAGGAGTAAAGAATTGTTGCTCTATTGAATTCTTCTTAATTTCTTACGTAAATCTTACATAGATATATGTTTAGTGGCCATGCCTCAATTACTTAGATCATATAAACATTCAAGAATGCAGCAAAACCAGACAGTAATGACCAACAAAAAGCATAAAATGTAGTAAGTTGCTTGATTACTGAAAAACTACTATTTCTTCAATGATTCCCAAAGTGTAAAAGATAGTAATGATTCTTCTCCATGAGCAAATAAGCTAGATAGTGGGTTAAAATAACAAGGAAGTTGTGGCCACAGATACTGAAGCATTTGAATCTTTTGAATAGTTCTAAAACGTAAAGAAAAGGGGAGATTAAATACATAAAGGAATTATTGAAAAGAAAATGGCTTGAGAGAAAACTTCATTTTATTTTAAAATCTTAATGTACTTGTTGCTCAGCAAGTCATAGAGCTAAATGCAAATTCTCTGCCTTATGAGACACAGGTAAGGAAAAATACATGAAACTGATATCCCGCATTTATTCAAGAGATTCAGTGCTGAGATACATCTTGGGGAGATACAGAACAACCCAAAGGGTCTCATATTATCTATGTCTATAACACAGGACACTAAGTGATTGTAATGAAGAACTACATTCATCAAGACTCGAATATTGCTCAAGCAGGATGCTGTCTACTCACAAAGATTCCAACTGGAGTTTAGGAATATCCACAATGCCCTGGACCCACCCATGATCTTTCTTGAAATTATGACATGTGAAAGGAAAATTAAATCTCAGGACCCCAAACTCACTATGCCAAGGAGAAAAGTTAGACTGTCTTTTTGCTCCTAAACAGATAGCTACAAAGACATTTTTTGTTGTTGTTTTGAGACAGAGTCTCGCTCTGTTGCCCAGGCTGGAGTGCAGTGGTTCGATCTCGGCTCACTGCAAGCTCTGCCTCCCGGGTTCACACCATTCTCCTGCCTCAGCCTCCTAAGTAGCTGGGACTACAGGCGCCCACCACCACACCTGGCTAGTTTTTTGTATTTTTTTTAGTAGAGATGGGGTTTCACCATGTTAGCCAGGATGGTTTCAATTTCCTGACCTTGTGATCCGCCCGCCTTGGCCTCCCAAAGTGCTGGGATTACAGGCATGAGCCACCGCGCCTGGCCACTGCAAAGACATTGACTAGAAGGTCACCTATCTCCTCAGGAGGCCTCCCTCACAATTCCCTAAAACTGAGTTCTGTTGAATTTCACCCTGACAGTGTAAATAACAGCTTATATTCACAAGCAGGAGACGAAGACAGGGCTAGAAGTTATCCCTCTGTTCATCTAAGACAAATGCATGTTTGACTGCTTCCCCTACTTTGTGATTATCTCATGTAAAAATGCAGATTCACTGAGCACTAGAGGAATTCATAATGGACTCTTCTATCTACTTTCCCCTTTTCACATGCAACATGTGGATTCAGTGAGTTCTAACTAAAGCCTCACAAGCATTTGACCACATCCTCCCTCTTTTATTTTCTTTCCCCTTTCCCCTCTTGCCCATTTTTCCCCCTTTAAATACTGAAGCCCTCAAATCCTCTTTGGAAAACATATAGGCCACACATCCTATTATGGTTTGTGTCTCTTTTTCCCAGGCATATCCTCAACATTGGCAAAATAAACCTCTAAATTGTTTGAGATGAGCCTCAGTCATTTTCTTTAGTTTTACGGACTCCCTGTGGAATTTTTCTTATAAAGACATGGAAAGCAGTGATGAATGGAGGGGGATAGTTTGTTAGGGCAGGACTGATTTCACGCTCCTTCTTCTGGGTCAAACTGCGTAAGATAAATGCTTAGGTATGAGAGCTAGCTTTCATTTTTATGCTTGTACAGCACAGGGCACTGTCTAGGGGTTTTATTTATATTATTCATTTAATCCTCACTAAAACCCTGTGAGAAAAACTTTATTGGCCAATAATTCTTACAAATAAAGAAATGGAAACTGAGAGAGTTGAAATGTTTTCTATTTTATTGCATGGATAATAACTGACAGAGCTAGAATTCAAACCAAGCTCTGAGTCACTACAGCACTTTACCACAACTACTTCAGAAAAAAACAAGAAGGGTAATCAGCAAAGAACACTGAAAGGTCCTGAAGCCCAAACCTATCTCTCTTTTAAATTCCATCAGTCATTCACTTTAAATCAGATCACCACTCATAAAAACAGCTATCTTCAAGGAAGTAGTAGTGTTATTGAAGAAGTAGGGGATGAGTTATTTGATGGAAAAAAGATTGAAATTTTGAGCATGAGAGGAGAGGTCTGTGGTTGAAAAGGATAAATTTTGGACATCGACTGAATGAGGGCCTAGGGTCAGAAAAGACACGTGGGTAGGAAAAATATTCAGAAAGAACAGGAGAACAACAGACTAATTTTTTTTTTTTTGAGACAGAGTCTTGCTCTGTCATCCAGGCTGTGCAGTGGTGCGATCTCAGCTCACTGCAACCTCTGCCTCCCAGGTTCAAGCGGTTCTCCCACCTCAGCCTCCTGAGTAGCTGGGACCACAGGCATGTGTCTCCACACTCCAGCTAATCAGACTAATATTTTTACCAGGACTCTGGTGCCAGCCAGTGTTCAAAGGTATCAGAATGAATTTCAGAGGCTACAAATCTGTTTCCTTATAATTATCTCACCTCAGTATCCTCTGTTCAGTCTAGCTCCATCTTGCCTTGGTAGTTCACCCAGATTGTTTGCCATTCATTTCCTATCCTCTCTGCTGGAAAAATAAGGCAAAGGAGAAGAGTAGGAAGAGTTGAGCTCATGCATTCCCAACATCCAGTAAATTAGTTGGCTAGGGCTGCTATAACAAAGAACCACAAACCGAGTGGCCTAGTCAATAGAAATGTATTGTCTCACAGTTAAGGAGGGTAGAAGTGTGAGATCAAGGTGTCAGCCGGGTTGGTCCCTTCTCAGGGCTATGAGAATTTGTTTCATGCCTCTCTCCTAGCTTCTCATGTTTTGCTGGCAGTCTTTGGCATTCCTTGGCTTATAGATGCAATACTTCAGTCTCTGCTATTATTGACACATGGCATTCTCCCTGTGTGTCTTCACATAATCTGTCTTCCATTCATGTCTGTCTCTGTCTCTGTGTCCAAATTTCCCCTTTTTATAAGGACACAGTCATAATGGATTAGGGCTTACCCTAATGACCTGATTTTAACTTGATTGTCTGTAAAGTCCATATTTCTAAGTTAGGTCACATTCACAGGTACTAGGTATTAGGACTCCAACATCTTTTGGAGGGACACAAATCCACAGTGCCAGTCTATGATTAATATAGATGGCCATTTTCTTGGGACTTCTAACTTTTATTATCTCAAATATTGTCTTCTCTACTATGGAGTCAGGGAAGAGCATGGAATATGCTTCACCAAAAAGCATAAATAGAAGCTTTGGCCTTTAAAAAGATACAAACCTTAAAGGATAAAAGGAATGTGAGAGGAGATGACATCACGCCAGAGATATCATAAAAATTTTAGAAGATAGAAAGTTGATCTCAGTAAAAGATTTAGTAGATAAAAATAAATTTGAAATCCCTATTGTCTGCAGAAGAGCAAAGTCATTTTGGCAGAAGACATAAGTCTTCTGGGACTGTATCTAGAAATTTTGAATTAGAGAGGCTCTGGTCTTGGAGACATCAGGTACAGCTGAGATTAGGGATGGGGTGTCAAACTGATATAAGAGTCAGTAAACCTCCCTGCCTCTGTTTTCCTTCTTGGCTTCCAGAACTTTTTAGGCTAGACATATACTCCCAGATGCGATGTTGCCAGAAATCCTCTCCAAGGAAATGAATCAGCCTGAGACAAGATGAGAAGGTCCTTTTTGGAGGCCCTCTGACTCAATAGTCCTGGCACATCACTCTTAGAGGAACCCACTTATCATTAAACAGTGCCAATATACACACAAGCAAACAGATAATCAAGAACCACCAGACAGGCTGGCCGTGATGGCTTATGCCTGTAATCTCAGTACTTTGGGGGACCTAGGCAGGAAGACAGCTTGAGCCCAGTAGTTTGAGACCAGCCTGGGAAACATGGTGAAACCTGAACTCTACAAAATTAGCTAGGTGTGGTGGCAAGCACCTGTGGTCCCAGCTACTTGGGAGGCTGAGGTGGGAGACTTGTTTGAGCTCAGGAGGCAGAGGAAGTTGCAGTGAGATATAATTATGGAATTGCACTGTAGCCTGGGTGACAGAGCAAGACCCTGTGAGACACACACACACACACACACACACACACACACACACACACACACACACAAACACAGAGAGAGAGAGAGAGAGAGAGAGATTTTAAAAAAAGAATCACCAGACATTTGAAGGAAACTTTTAATATAAAAAAAGACACCAAAATAAACTGAAACCGAAACTTAGAGAAAACAGAGACAGTGCAGAGAGTGAAGAAAAACATTTTTAAGTACATAAAATGTATGTCTTCAGAGATAAAGAGAGGATATTGATTGCACATTTGAGGCAAAAACAATAGGCTATAAAAAAGTAATATTCAATGACCAAGAACAAGCTCTTGGAAAGTAAAACAGAGTAGTGAAAAAAAAAAAACTCAATAGAAGAGTTGGAAGATAACCTTTAGGAAATTACCCAGGAAGTAAACAAAACAAGGCAGAGAAGGAAATAGATAAGAAATAATAAGAAAATTAGAGGCCTAGCTAGTAGAAGTTTTAGAAAGTGATAACAGAGAAGGTGGAGGGGATAAATTATGAAAGAAATAATGCAAGAGAATTTTCCAGAACTAAAGAGAATGAAACTCCACTTTGAAAGAGCCCACAGATTGTCTAGCACAATGAATGAAAAATGTCCTATACCAAGGCAATCACTGAAAAATTACAGAACTCTGAGTATAAAGAGATCTTGTGCCTTCATCTCCCTTGCCTTTTTTCCTTCTTTGTCCTTGTTTGAGAAAACCACAACTTGGATTAAATCCAACTCAAAGCTCACTCTTTGTCTCTACTCTCTGCCACAGCTGAATAAAACTGTGGAAAAACCACACTGACTAGCATAATTTTAAATTAATGACACTAATCCCAAGAATTAGAATGAGAGATTCTGGTCTAATGCTGTTTTACTCATGCCATATTTCCAAGGTTCATTCTTGCTCCTAGTGACCACCTTATACCATCTCCTCTCTCATCAAACTCCAACTCTGCCAGCTTCCTCCCTTTAAGCTAACAATGTTGCTGTCTTTTGCTAAGAAAGGTTTTGAAACAACTAAAAGAGATCTTATACAAACTTCCACCACCACAATATCCTTCTACTTGCATCACGGGGGCCTATGTTCTGCCTTCTCCCCTGTTACTTTTGATGAACTCTTCTAGCAAAGGCCAATTTCTCCACTTCTGCATTAGATTTCATCCCCTCTTGCTTACTCAAGGAGGTTGCTCCAGCAATTCTCTTCTTTTCTTCTCTCTCTGTGTGTGTGTATAAAGCCAGCCTTTTCTTAAACCCACATTTCCAGTTTCTGCTCCATTTTTGTTTCCCTTTTCAGCAACACTCTAGCCATTGCCAATTTCTCTCCACCCATCCCCCATTCTCTCTTAAACCCACTGTAATCATGTTTTCATCAGCATCATGCCATCAAAACTGCTCTACCTAAAGTCTCTGATGACCTCCATGATGTTAAATTGATGGCTATCTCTCAGGCCTCCTCTTCCTTGATTTATCAACAGCTTTTGACACAGATAATCACTCTCTCCTCCTTGAGACACTTCTTCACTTGACTTCCAGGACACATTACACTTAGTTTGTGTCTTAATTTTCTAGCTGCTCCTTCTCTGTCTTTTTTTTCTTTCCCGATTCCTTTTCATCTTTTCAACCTCTAAATGTTGGAGTGCCTTGGACTTTTGTACCTACTCACACTCTCTGGGTGATCTTATCCAATCACAAGACTTTAAATACCATTGATACTTTGAGAAGTTTTACATTTATATCTTAGCTTGGACTTCTCCCAGACTGTCTATTTGATATCTCCAGTTGACATCTCAGATTTAGTATGAACAGAACTGAGCTACAGATACCTCTCCCAACCTGTTCTTCTCACAGGCTTCTCCGTCCTTAGTTACCCTTAGTTAAGGGCAACTCCTTTCTTCCTTTTTGCAGGCCAAAACTTTTTCATGCTTGACTCCTTTCTCTCACTTTCTACCTGCATTAAGTCAACAAATACTGTTAGCTCTACCTTTGGAATATGTCCAGAATTTGACCGTTTCTTACATCTCCACTACCATCATTCTGGTGCAAGCCACCATTGCTACTCACCTGAATTACTGCAATAGCGTTCTAAGTCCTCACCCTTACCTCTTCCCTCAGGCGATTCTTTTGCTTGATGCCAAAGTCAGATTAGTCCCATTTCTGCTAAAAATTCTCTAATAGCCTCTCATCTCTTGTAGAGTATAAACCCATTTCCTCACATGATCCGGCCCATCTTATTGCTCTGAACTCATTGCCTTCTACCTTTCATCTTGTTCACTTTGCTCCAGCCACAGTGGCTTCCCAAACAAGTGCTTCTTGTTCCTCAAACAAACCAGTCACACTTCTGTCTCACAGCCTGTGCACTTAGTGTTCTCTCTGCCCAGAAAGGAAATTCCCTGGATATTAGCATGGCTTGGTACCTTACTACCTTCAGGTCTTTACTTAAAAGTTTTCTTTTAAATAAGGCCCTTATCCAAATTTCTACCCCTGACACTACATATTCTCCTTTTCTTCTTGAGTATTTATCACTACCTAATATACTATATGTTCTACTTATTTATCTTATTTATTATGCCTCCCCCACTAGAATGTAAGCTCCACAAAGGTAGGAATGTAGGTGTGGCTTTCTTTTTTCAATGCTGTAATCCCCAGCATCTAAAACAGACCCTGGCACAGTAATGGCTGTTCAATAAATATTTGTAAATAAATGAATATTTTATAAAAGCTCCTATAGAGAAAAAAAAAACAGATTCAGGGATCAGAATGGCACCATGCTTCTCAACATTGGAAGGTGAAAGACAGAAGATCAAGGCCTTAAAAATATAAGGAAAAATGATTTGCACCATCCCTGGATTATATATCCAGTCAAACTTAATAGGGCATGAAGGTAAATTGAAGACACTTTCAGATTTGCAAGATTTCAAAAGTATTGTTCTCATGAACTTAGGAAGCTATCAGATGATATATATCCACTAAAATGAGGAAGAAAAACCAAGAAATAGGAAGACATAGGTTCCAGGAAACACGGATTTCAACATAGAGGAAAGACAAAGGGAAAACCCAAGATGATAATTAGGGAAAACTTTAGGCTGTTGCTATGCAGAAGGTCTAGAGAGCAACCAGTCCAGACAGGAGCAGGAGGATCTGGACTCCAAAAAAGATGTCACCAAGGGGGGAAAAAAAACAGAACCAGAACTGAGAGCTCCCCTGATATATTTGCTCTTAATGAGAGGACTTCTATAGTCCTATTGGAGATTTTGTGAAAAAGGTGGTAATAGATGGGTCTGGCATGGTAGCTCACACCTATAATCCCAACACTCTGAGAGGACAAGGCAGGAGGATCGCTTGAGGCCAGGAGTTTGAGGCCAGCCTGGGCAACAGAGTGAGATCCTGTCTTTATCAAAAAAAAAAAAAAAAAAATTAGCAGGGCTTGGTGTTGTGCACCTGTACTCTTAGCTATGCAGGAGGCTGAGTGGGAGGATCCCTTGATCCCATGGGTTTGAGGCTGCAGTGAGCTATGGATCATATCACTGCATTCCAGGTTGGGCAACAGAGCAAGACCCTGTCTCTAAAATAAATAAATACATAAATAACACTTTGTGGCTTAGTTATGAACAATATTTGCATATGTAAAATGAATACTGAGTTGACCAAAAATTGTAAGGTTGGGTTAGATAAGAATGTGAGGAAATGATGTACAGGAGCCAATCGAAATTTTTCATCGGAGGAGCCAAGATGGCTGAATAGGAACAGCTCCGGTATACAGCTCCCAGCGTGAGCGACGCAGAAGACGGGTGATTTCTGCATTTCCATCTGAGGTACCAGGTTCATCTCACTAGGGATTGCCAGACAGTGGGCGCAGGTCAGTGGGTGCGTGCACCGTGCGTGAGCTGAAGCAGGGCGAGGCATTGCCTCACTTGGGAAGCGCAAGGGGTCAGGGAGTTCCCTTTCCGAGTCAAAGAAAGGGGTGATGGACGCACCTGGAAAATCGGGTCACTCCCACCCGAATATTGTGCTTTTCCGACCGGCTTAAAAAACCGCGCACCACGAGATTATATCCCGCACATGGCTCGGAGGGTCCTACGCCCACGGAGTCTGGCTGATTGCTAGCACAGCAGTCTGAGATCAAACTGCAAGGCGGCAGCGAGGCTGGGGGAGGGGCGCCCGCCATTGCCCAGGCTTGCTTAGGTAAACAAAGCAGCCGGGAAGCTCGAACTGGGTGGAGCCCACCACAGCTCAAGGAGGCCTGCCTGCCTCTGTAGGCTCCACCAATGGGGGCAGGGCACAGACAAACAAAAAGACAGCAGTAACCTCTGCAGACTTAAATGTCCCTGTCTGACAGCTTTGAAGAGAGCAGTGGTTCTCCCAGCACACAGCTGGAGATCTGAGAACGGGCAGACTGCCTCCTCAAGTGGGTCCCTGACCCCTGACCCCTGAGCAGCCTAACTGGGAGGCACCCCCCAGCAGGGGCACACTGACACCTCACATGGCAGGGTATTCCAACAGACCTGCAGCTGAGGGTCCTATCTGTTAGAAGGAAAACTAACAAACAGAAAGGACATCCACACCAAAAACCCATCTGTACATCACCATCATCAAAGACCAAAAGTAGATAAAACCAAAAAGATGGGAAAAAAACAGAACAGAAAAACTGGAAACTCTAAAACGCAGAGCGCCTCTCCTCCTCCAAAGGAACGCAGTTCCTCACCAGCAACGGAACAAAGCTGGATGGAGAATGACTTTGACGAGCTGAGAGAAGAAGGCTTCAGACGATCAAATTACTCTGAGCTACGGGAGGACATTCAAACCAAAGGCAAAGAAGTTGAAAACTTTGAAAAAAATTTAGAAGAATGTATAACTAGAATAACCAATAGAGACAAGTGCTTAAAGGAGCTCATGGAGCTGAAAACCAAGGCTCGAGAACCACGTGAAGAATGCAGAAGCCTCAGGAGCCGATGCGATCAACTGGAAGAAAGGGTATTAGTGGTGGAAGATGAAATGAATGAAATGAAGCGAGAAGGGAAGTTTAGAGAAAAAAGAATAAAAAGAAATGAGCAAAGCCTCCAAGAAATATGGGACTATGTGAAAAGACCAAATCTACGTCTGATTGGTGTACCTGAAAGTGATGGGGAGAATGGAACCAAGTTGGAAAACACTCTGCAGGATATTATCCAGGAGAACTTCCCCAATCTAGCAAGGCAGGCCAACGATCAGATTCAGGAAATACAGAGAATGCCACAAAGATACTCCTCGAGAAGAGCAACTCCAAGACACATAATTGTCAGATTCACCAAAGTTGAAATGAAGGAAAAAATGTTAAGGGCAGCCAGAGAGAAAGGTCGGGTTACCCACAAAGGGAAGCCCATCAGACTAACAGCGGATCTCTTGGCAGAAACCCTACAAGCCAGAAGAGAGTGGGGGCCAATATTCAACATTCTTAAAGAAAAGAATTTTCAACCCAGAATTTCATATCCAGCCAAACTAAGCTTCATAAGTGAAGGAGAAATAAAATACTTTACAGACAAGCAAATGCTGAGAGATTTTGTCACCACCAGGCCTGCCCTAAAAGAGCTCCTGAAGGAAGCACTAAACATGGAAAGGAACAACCGGTACCAGCCGCTGCAAAATCATGCCAAAATGTAAAGACCATCGAGACTAGGAAGAAACTGCATCAACTAACAAGCAAAACCACCAGCTAACATCATAATGACAGGATCAAATTCATACATAACAATATTAACTTTAAATGTAAATGGACTAAATGCTCCAATTAAAAGACACAGACTAGCAAACTGGATAAAGAGTCAAGACCCATCAGTGTGCTGTATTCAGGAAACACATCTCACGGGCAGAGACACACATAGGCTCAAAATAAAAGGATGGAGGAAGATCTACCAAGCAAATGGAAAACAAAAAAAGGCAGGGGTTGCAATACTAGTCTTGGATAAAACAGAATTTAAACCAACAAAGATCAAAAGAGACAAAGAAGGCCATTACATAATGGTAAAGGGATGAATTCAACAAGAAGAGCTAACTATCCTAAATATATATGCACCCAATACAGGAGCACCCAGATTCATAAAGCAAGTCCTGAGTGACCTACAAAGAGACTTAGACTCCCACACATTAATAATGGGAGACTTTAACACTCCACTGTCAACATTAGACAGATCAACGAGACAGAAAGTCAACAAGGATACCCAGGAATTGAACTCAGCTCTGCACCAAGCGGACCTAATAGACATCTACAGAACTCTCCACCCCAAATCAACAGAACATACATTTTTTTCAGCACCACACCACACCTATTCCAAAATTGACCACATACTTGGAAGTAAAGCTCTCCTCAGCAAATGTAAAAGAACAGAGATTATAACAAACTATCTCTCAGACCACAGTGCAATCAAACTAGAACTCAGGATTAAGAATCTCACTCAAAACTGCTCAACTACATGGAAACAGAACAACCTGCTCCTGAATGACTACTGGGTACATAACGAAATGAAGGCAGAAATAAAGATGTTCTTTGAAAACAACGAGAACAAAGACACAACATACCAGAATCTCTGGGACGCATTCAAAGCAGTGTGTAGAGGGAAATTTATAGCACTAAATGCCCACAAGAGAAAGCAGGAAAGATCCAAAATTGACACCCTAACATCACAATTAAAAGAACTAGAAAAGCAAGAGCAAACACATTCAAAAGCTAGCAGAAGGCAAGAAATAACTAAAATCAGAGCAGAACTGAAGGAAATAGAGACACAAAAAAGCCTTCAAAAAATTAATGAATCCAGGAGCTGGTTTTTTGAAAGGATCAACAAAATTGATAGACCACTAGCAAGACTAATAAAGAAAAAAAGAGAGAAGAATCAAATAGACACAATAAAAAATGATAAAGGGGATATCACCACTGATCCCACAGAAATACAAACTACCATAAGAGAATACTACAAACACCTCTACGCAAATAAACTAGAAAATCTAGAAGAAATGGATAAATTCCTCGACACATACACTCTCCCAAGACTAAACCAGGAAGAAGTTGAATCTCTGAATAGACCAATAACAGGAGCTGAAATTGTGGCAATAATCAATAGTTTACCAACCAAAAAGAGTCCAGGACCAGATGGATTCACAGCCGAATTCTACCAGAGGTACAAGGAGGAGCTGGTACCATTCCTTCTGAAACTATTCCAATCAACAGAAAAAGAGGGAATCCTCCCTAACTCATTTTATGAGGCCAGCATCATTCTGATACCAAAGCCAGGCAGAGACACAACCAAAAAAGAGAATTTTAGACCAATATCCTTGATGAACATTGATGCAAAAATCCTCAATAAAATACTGGCAAACCGAATCCAGCAGCACATCAAAAAGCTTATCCACCATGATCAAGTGGGCTTCATCCCTGGGATGCAAGGCTGGTTCAATATATGCAAATCAATAAATGTAATCCAGCATATAAACAGAGCCAAAGACAAAAACCACATGATTATCTCAATAGATGCAGAAAAAGCCTTTGACAAAATTCAACAACCCTTCATGCTAAAAACTCTCAATAAATTAGGTATTGATGGGACGTATTTCAAAATAATAAGAGCTATCTATGACAAACCCACAGCCAATATCATACTGAATGGGCAAAAACTGGAAGCATTCCCTTTGAAAACTGGCACAAGACAGGAATGCCTTCTCTTACCACTCCTATTCAATATAGTGTTGGAAGTTCTGGCCAGGGCAATCAGGCAGGAGAAGGAAATAAAGGGTATTCAATTAGGAAAAGAGGAAGTCAAATTGTCCCTGTTTGCAGACGACATGATTGTATATCTAGAAAACCCCATTGTCTCAGCCCAAAATCTCCTTAAGCTGATAAGCAACTTCAGCAAAGTCTCAGAATACAAAATCAATGTACAAAAATCACAAGCGTTCTTATACACCAACAACAGACAAACAGAGAGCCAAATCATGAGTGAACTCCCATTCACAATTGCTTCAAAGAGAATAAAATACCTAGGAATCCAGCTTACAAGGGATGTGAAGGACCTCTTCAAGGAGAACTACAAACCACTGCTCAAGGAAATAAAAGAGGATACAAACAAATGGAAGAACATTCCATGCTCATGGGTAGGAAGAATCAATATTGTGAAAATGGCCACACTGCCCAAGGTAATTTACAGATTCAGTGCTATCCCCATAAAGCTACCAATGACTTTCTTCACAGCATTGGAAAAAACTACTTTAAAGTTCATATGGAACCAAAAAAGAGCCCGCATTGCCAAGGCAATCCTAAGCCAAAAGAACAAAGCTGGAGCCATCACACTACCTGACTTCAAACTATACTACAAGGCTACAGTAACCAAAACAGCATGGTACTGGTACCAAAACAGAGATATAGATCAATGGAACAGAACAGAGCCCTCAGAAATAACGCTGCATATCTACAACTATCTGATCTTTGACAAACCTGACAAAAACAAGCAATGGGGAAAGGATTCCCTATTTAATAAATGGTGCTGGGAAAACTGGCTAGCCATATGTAGAAAGCTGAAACTGGGTCCCTTCCTTACACCTTATACAAAAATCAATTCAAGATGGATTAAAGACTTAAACGTTAGACCTAAAACCATAAAAACCCTAGAAGAAAACCTAGGCATTACCATTCAGGACATAGGCATGGGCAAGGACTTCATGTCTAAAACACCAAAAGCAATGGCAACAAAAGCCAAAATTGACAAATGGGATCTAATTAAACGAAAGAGCTTCTGCACAGCAAAAGAAACTACCATCAGAGTGAACAGGCAACCTACAAAATGGGAGAAAATTTTTGCAACCTACTCATCTGACAAAGGGCTAATATCCAGAATCTACAATGAACTCAAACAAATTTACAAGAAAAAAACAATCAACCCCATGAAAAAGTGGGCGAAGGACATGAACAGACACTTCTCAAAAGAAGACATTTATGCAGCCAAAAAACACATGAAAAAATGCTCATCATCACTGGCCATCAGAGAAATGCAAATCAAAACCACAATGAGATACTATCTCACACCAGTTAGAATGGCAATCATTAAAAAGTCAGGAAACAACAGGTGCTGGAGAGGATGTGGAGAAACAGGAACACTTTTACACTGTTGGTGGGACTGTAAACTAGTTCAACCATTGTGGAAGTCAGTGTGGCGATTCCTCAGGGATCTAGAACTAGAAATACCATTTGACCCAGCCATCCCATTACTGGGTATATACCCAAAGGACTATAAATCATGCTGCTATAAAGACACATGCACACGTATGTTTATTGCCACATTATTCACAATAGCAAAGACTTGGAACCAACCCAAATGTCCAACAATGATAGACTGGATTAAGAAAATGTGGCACATATACACCATGGAATACTATGCAGCCATAAAAAATGATGAGTTCATGTCCTTTGTAGGGACATGGATGAAATTGGAAATCATCATTCTCAGTAAACTATCGCAAGAACAAAAAACCAAACACCGCATATTCTCACTCATAGGTGGGAATTGAACAATGAGATCACATGGACACAGGAAGGGGAATATCACACTCTGGGGACTGTGGTGGGGTGGGGGGAGGGGGGAGGGATAGCATTGGGAGATATACCTAATGCTAGATGACGAGTTAGTGGGTGCAGCGCACCAGCGTGGCACATGTATACATATGTAACTAACCTGCACAATGTGCACATGTACCCTAAAACTTAAAGTATAATAAAAAAAATGAGTTAAAAAAAAAAAAAGACTGAGATCAAATGAAGAACAAAGATGGAGTAGGTAGAATGACTATGTAGCTACTGTCTTAGTAACTGAGCATAGTGACCTAGTAGCAATTTGGCTTGAAAGAAATTTTAAATTACTTGGCTGTGTATTGAGATAGTTTCCCAGATAGTATTATAGAAAAGTCTGTCTATAGACAGGAATTACAGCAAAAATCTAGTATTTTTGTTGTAATACTTGTTGATCATCTTTTTTTGCTCTATTTGCAGCTGAACAAACTGTAGCTGTTATAAAGGAGAAAAGGAGCCAATTTGATATTCTAATGCAATGAAGTCTTAGATATATTGAAATAAATGTCTTAAAATAAAAAAAGAAATTTTTCATCATAAGAAATTGAGAAATAAATATCTAACATGGAATAATTAAAAGAGCACTATATGCATATTAGCTAGAAATATAAGTGTAAATAGCTAAAGAAAGAGATAAAAGAGTTGAAAGAAGTTAAATCTGGAGGCTGGGCATGAAAGATTGAGAGGAATAGGACACTCACAGGTTCCTGTCCATTATCAATTTAATAGTACTATATGACTTCTTAAGTTATATAAATGAATTTTGATAAACATAAAACTTAAAATGTAAAAGTTAATCTAAAATCAAGAAATAGGCTGGGTGTGGTGGCTCACAGCTGTAATCCCAGCACTTTGGGAGGCTGAGGTGGGGGAATCACTTGAGGCCAGGAGTTCGAGACCAGCCTGGCCAACATGGTGAAACCCCATCTCTACTAAAAATACAAAAATTAGCTGGCTATGGTGGTGCATGCCTGTCATCCCAGCTACTCAGGAGTCTGAGGCAGGAGAATCGCTTGAACCTGGGAGGTGGAGTTTGCAGTGAGCTGAGATCATGCCACTGCACTCCAGACTGGGTGACAGAGCAAGACCCTGTCTCAAATAATAATAATATTAGAGAAATGTCACTTAGAGTTATGGAAATAATAAAGGAACTAAACAAGGATGGTAAGAGACAATGGTTACCTCTGAAAAGTGGGATTCGGGGTGGACTTTTTATGACCATAGCCATGACTGCTTTTACAATAAAAATAAATGAATAAGATCAATTGGCCTATCAGATATCTGTGAGAACAGGATAGAACTAAAAAAAAAAAAAAATCATGAATTAATCAGTTCTTATTGGGGTCACTTTGAGAGAACACATCAGCTAAAAGAGAGAAACTACTATTTTTGAGAACATGGACATGTTTGCGCTTTATTTTTATTTTTTGAGACGGAATCTCGCTCTGTCACCCAGGCTGGAGTGCAGTGGCGCAATCTAGGTTCACTGCAAGCTCCGCCTGCCAGGTTCACGCCATTCTCCTGCCTCAGCCTCCCGAGTAGCTGGGACTAAAGGCGCTTGCCACCATGCCCGGCTAATTTTTTGTATTTTGTTTAGGAGAGACAGAGTTTCACCGTGTTAGCCAGGATGGTCTCGATCTCCTGACCTCGTGATCCGCCCGCCTCGGCCTCCCAAAGTGCTGGGATTACAGGCGTGAGCCACCGTGCCCGGCCCATGTTTGCACTTTAACGTGATGTCGCAATGGCTTGCCATTCTAAAAATTCAGTCTAGTACCTTAATATCAAGGAAAGGTAGCTGTTGGCGTAATAGGAATTACTCAAAGGCTATAATCCAAATTCAAGTTGTCCACTTGAATCAAAATGACCTTCCTGGAAGCACTGATCCTCTTGAGATTTTTGTTCTAATCCTATTGTAAGGGCAGATTTTCTCTAATACCCAGTGGAGTCATTTGAGTTCTAACACAGAAATAGCAAAGAAACAGTAATGACAGTTAAGTGTACAGTCAGGAGTTCTGTGTGTGCCATGGTAGCATCCAACCCTCTCATGGATTATGCGGTACTCAGAGGAAAAGAATATTGGTTTTTATTTTTTAAGATACTTAGACAAAGACTTCACAACATTCCTCAATAACTCATTTCTCTGACAAATTTTTTAAAATATTTTTGTTACATAATATTTTAATATGCACTGAGACTGTAACCCATACATAAGGGATAAAGTATGGTGACATAATGAGCACCAGTGAAACCACCACCCAATTTAATAACGGGAGCATTACCAGTACCTTTGTATCTCCCTGAGTGCTTCCTTTCCACATCTCATCCTCATTGATAACATAGCACTCTCTATAAGCTAACTTCAATGCTCCCCATCATAATTCAAATCAATTTCTTTTTTGTTTGTTTGTTTGTTTTATTTTTTTTGAGACGGAGTTTCGCTCTTGTTGCCCAGGCTGGAGTGCAATGGCGCAATCTCGGCTCACCACAACCTCTGCCTCCCGGTTCCATCGATTCTTCTGTCTCAGTCTCCTGAGTAGCTGGGACTACAGGCATGCGCCACCATGCCCGGCTAATTTTGTATTTTTAGTAGAGACAGGGTTTCTCCATGTTGGTCAGGCTGATCTTGAACTCCTGACCTCAGGTGATCCACCCGCCTCGGCCTCCCAAAGTGCTGGGATTACAGGCATGAGCCACCGCGCCCAGCCTTAAATAATTTCTTCTGGCTTTTTTCTTTTCTCTGGAGATGAATATCTACGAAATATCTTTGCTTTCACTCACGAATAAGTGATCATAGTATTTGGAGTAGATCTAGTTGCAAGTCCAGCTCTGCCTCTACTAACTGTATAACTGTAGACAAGTTATTTAATTCTTCTAACCTGCAATTTTCTCATTTGTAAAGAAAAGATAATAATTTCTAATTTTCAGGGTTATTATAAGACTTAAGTGAGTTAATGTATATAAAGTACTCATTACCTGCAGTTATTTTTATAGAAAGTTAATCATTGTAATCTTATGTGAGAATCTTTTTGCAAAGTGTAAAGGAAATTTAATTAGATGTCTGGCTAATTTCTTTCTTTGATAATGTTTGCTTCAAAAATAATTAGGCCGGGTGCTGTGGC